>NW_025791814.1:850648-1020778 GCF_000001405.40 Homo sapiens
TGGAGATTCACAGGGCTGTCACTTGACCAAGGACACAGGATACAGGCTGTCACTTGAGCAAGAACGCAGGGCTAGGAGGTGGCAGAACTAGATTCAGTCTTTCTGATGAAGGCTTTTGAGATTTTTGTTTTCTCATCTTAGAACCAAATGTGGCATAACAGTCCCCCCTCATTTGTGTGGGGATTACAGGCAGCTCTGTATAGAGTGGGTCTATGGCCTGTGCTTCCAGATCTAGTCTTTCTCCGTGGTGTGGAGCTGAGGGGTTACAGGCTCCTGCTATGTGCTGGGGTTGCTACTAAGTCTATGTGATAAAATACATGAGCCCCTCACTTTGCCTGTAGTTAACTGACATGATTTGGTAAGAAAGAGATGAAGAAATTAACACTATTTACAAAGGTGATTGGACTCATCTTATAATAATAAGATTTAACCTGCTCACTAAATGTGAGGGTAGCGGGTGGTCTCCACCCTGCTGTTAGGAAGCACAGCATCCAAGCATTGGCACAAGGCTGAATAGATGTGGTTGACTCTACTCACAGCATGTTCTTCCCTGCTGCCACTTGGTGGACACTGTGGGGCTCCCTTCAGATTTCCTCTTTAGCGCCAATGCACCCTGCCCCAAAGCAGCTGGAAAGATCCTATGTTGAGTCCTACACTGGGAACCAGCCCAAGTTACAGGGAACTGCCTTGTCTGAGGCCTGCAGGGAATGACTGGTCAAAGGTGGCTCCACAAGCCTGGCCCCCTCGTGTTAAGTTGCAACAATGCTGAAGGTGCATCCCACCTGAGACCGCTATCATCAGAGCTTTGCAGAGAAGCTTCTCCCTCCACTCATTCTGCCTTCCTCACACCCTTGCTGATGTCTCTCTTGAGAATACACTCCCAGGAGGCCTTCTGCATGCAACTCTTCCTCTGAGCATCTCCCTTCAGGTAACTCAACAGGAGACATCAAATGAGGCTCTGCTAGTTACCCTCTACAACCATGTCTTTCTGAAATGTTTTTCTATTTTAAATAAAGTAATCAGAAAGTGCCAACTAACATCCCATGTAAGCTCCCCAATAGAGCATGAGCAATAAATAAAATACACCAAGATGGAAGAAAGTACTAAATCTGGATTATCACTGGATTAAAACATTTTTACAAGCAATAATTATTACATTGAATAAGGCAATGACACAACTAAGACTCTCAGGCTGTTATGTTTTTGGGAACCCATTGAATCTGGACAGTGACAGTGTGTAGTTTGTTTTATGAAAACATACTCATGTAAGAATCTAACATTTCAAGGTGAAACCCCGTCTCTACTAAAAATACAAAAAATTAGCCGGGCACGGTGGCGGGCGCCTGTAGTCCCAGCTACTCGGGAGGCTGAGGCAGGAGAATGGCGTGAACCCGGGAAGCGGAGCTTGCAGTGAGCCGAGATTGCGCCACTGCAGTCCGCAGTCCGACCTGGGCGACAGAGCGAGACTCCGTCTCAAAAAAAAAAAAAAAAAAAAAAAAAAAGAATCTAACATTTATCTATTATATAAACATTTTGATTTTTAGTTAAACTTCACATATTCAATGGGCTCATAGCCCTAAGCCTAATGCCTAGCAAGCTGTGTGTGTTTCGTAAATGCTAGTTGGTGCATTCACTGTCCCCATATTTTTTCATTTTCCCATCTCATAATTCATGTGGTATGTCAAACTTCTGTTGATAATATAATGTAACCTTTTGAAGTATTTTTGGAATTTCTATTTTACAAAATTACAACTCTTTTAAGTAGATTGGAATTACCTCTCACAGTTTAGGAACTGACTGTATAGAAGTTGAGACAGAGAGAGAGAGAGAGAGAGAGAGAAGGTGGGGGGTACAGGCGAAAGCCTTTAGCGAGGTCCTGATATAGAGAGATGCTTACAAACTGTGGCCCCCCTTCCACTATGAACAGGAAAGCCTACATACTGATGTGAATTCTGCTCCCCTGTGAGGGACACACAATGTAGATGTCTCCAAAGTAGATGGGCCCCCGATAAGACCCTCTTTCTCCTTGATCAGGGGAAGCATCAAAAGCTATTGTCAATCTGTGCGTCTCAAGAAGTGTCTTGTTCAACAATGCTGGAAATAACATGGATGATCTCACACTTGAAGACCTACACCTCCTTGGGGATGTTGGCAGATGATATCTACCTGACAGGTCCACTACTGGGGTGAGATCTGAGGGTCACTCTGGCTGTTAGGCCATATATGGCACCAATGAAAACTCTAACTTTTCACTGGTGTCATATAGGATGGAAATGTTACCAGGGCCAAAGGCTTCAATTATAGAAAAGTTTATCAGTATAAACACAGTGGTCAATGACACACAATCCTGCAGGGCATTGAGACGTGTGTTGTGTCACAGTTACATTAGGAAACTTGCTCTCGTGTGCCTATATGGAATGTAGACTTCTATTTAGTAAAACCAAGAAGGTTAACCCCTAACCTCACTAAGGAGAGATGGGAAGGATTGCTGTCTTTCCTTGCACAAATATACCTTAGAGTGCACATGGCAAAACTTCATTCTTTAACTAAGGTTAGGAAATATATCAATAAATATGTTGGTGTGGGGATGAGGAAGGGCAAGTGTAATGAGATTCCTGGCCTACTATAGCCTAGAAAGAAAACTTCATTAGGAAGAACTGTTAGAAAGTTATGAGGATGGCATATGGTGGTCAAGATTTGGTATGGTGGAATGAGCTCATGCATTTTAGCACTACATCTTGTTAAGAAACTAAATGGTCATGTAACCAGTCATTTAAACACTAAGCACCAACTTTAGATTGTCACAATAAAGGAAGAAGTAGGGAGCAGAATAGAGGCAGAAGAGACATTAATCTAATAACTAGATGAGCTAATAACTAGGCCTGGGCACTCTCCGTGGCTTGCTACCCAAGCTGTCTCGGGACCTATCCGCTGCATTGTGACAAAGTATTCCTCAGCTGCCCCAGCCATGGCTCAAGTGGTCCCAGGCCTGGCTTAACTTACTGCTCTGGAAGGTACTAATCATAAACTTTGGTGGCATCCATGTTGTGTTAATTCTGCAGGTGCACAGAATGCAAAAGCTGTGGGGCATGGCTTTCTCCACCTAAACTTCAAAGACTTCCCAGAAAGCCTGCGGCCCTGGGCAGAGACTTGTTTTAGAGGTGGAGCCGGCACAAAGAGTCCCCATTAGGGCGGTGCTGAGACGAATTAATGGGCCAGAGCTGCAGCAGAGACTGTCCACTAGAGTAATGCCTAGTGGAGCCACGGAAGTGGGGCTGGCCCTGAGATCCCAGAACTGTAGAGCTACCAGCACATAACATCAGCCTGGGAGAGCTGCAGACATAAGACTCCAACCCATGAGAGCTGCTGGGTAAACTGAGCCCAAGAGCCCAACAAAGCCACCAAGGCAGCTTTTCCTGAGGCCCTGGGGACCCAATCCCCACCCCAGTGTTCCCCAGGTGAGGGACATGGAATTAAAGGGGTTTCTTATCCAGCTTTAAACTTAAGGTTGTTTTCTCTGTTGGGTTTTAGATTTACTTGAAACCTGTTACCTCTTCCTGCCTCTTTCTCCTTTTTGGAATGGGAATGTCCATCCTGTTCCTGTCTCACCATCGAATTTTGGAATTAGATAGCTTGCTTTGATTCATAGCTCATGGCTGGAGGGAATTTGCCTCTAGATGAATCATGCCTGAGTCTCACTCATATCTGATTCAGATGAGACTTTGGACTTTCAAACTGATGCTGGAATTACTTAAGACTTTTGGGGTACTGGGATTCAATGAATGCATTTTGTATGTTAGAAGTTTCAGGAGGCCAGGGCAGAATACCACGATTTGAATGTTCCTGCCAAAACTCACGTTGAAATTTAATCACCAGGGTAATGGTACTGGGAGGTGGAAACTTTAAAAGGTGACTCGTAAGAGGCAGATCCTTCATGAATGGATTATTGTCATTATCACAGGAGTGAGCTCCTTATAAAATAATACATTCTGCCTCCATTTTCTTTCTATCCTGAACACTTGCTTCTGTCTTCCATCCTTCCACCTAGGATGACCTTCACCTGATGGCCTTGGACTTCTCAGCCTCCAGAGCCATGAGCCAAATAAACTTCTGTTGTTTACAATTTACTCAGTCTGTGTATTCTGTTTTAGTAGCAGAAAATGAACCAAGACAACAATTCACGAAAGTTTCACTCTTCACACTCATACAGAATAGGTGAAACCTTTTCACATCACTATTTTAGTTTCATTATATGCCTGCCTTTATTCCGGAAAGTCAGATCTAGGGGAAGCTGTGTCCATGAGATTTAGCATCCTCCAGGTATCTTACTTGAAACATCCATCGTTTTTCTCTTGGTCTCCATCACTGGCAGAAACCAAGAGTTTGGCCTCCAGGGCCAGTTGGGGCTATGGCTAAGCTGGGAAGCACAGTGAACACCAATTGCCAAAAGGTGGCAGAGAAAAATACATTTTGTACAAGCGATAGCTCTTACCCACAGAGAAGAGAGGCAGGGGTGTTCATCAAGTCGTAAGTGTTTTATAGTTTTCTCTCCCAACCATAACTAAAGTCTTTAGCAATGCTTCATAAGTCAGAATATGAAAATTATTGCTAACTAAGAAATCGGTTCAGATCAGAAGCATAGTTAATAGTTCAACACGGCAGTTTTCAACTCAAATAAAAATGCTGATAGTAGCACTGTAATTTTACATTTGAGCTTTCCAAGAAACTGACATTACCCCAAACATATTGTTAGGAATGAGGTAACTGTCACTCTTCAAGGCTAATTAATTCCACCAGGATTCTTTTATTTTTTTTCCCTACATTATTTTTCTATCAACCCGACTGTGGGTAATTTGAACTAAGCAAAATTTGGTCATATTTGAATTTATCCTCTTGTATCCTAAAAGTAGTCTTGTTAAGAATAGCAAGACTTTAAAAATGTAAATGTATACAAGAAACATTGCTTAATTAAATGTATAGTTTCTTATTGAAAATCTCATTCCACAAGCCAGCTTGTGAAATTATTTAAATGACTGCAGGAAAAAAATGATAAATAAATGTTTAATCCTAGCAGTTAAAGAGATAAGCGACCTATGGGGGATTACTGTCACTTCTCCTTATATTTTTAAAGAATTTTACATTAGTCTTTCTCCTTCATGCCACAGGGTTTAATAATGTAACATAAACTCATTCTCTAAGAGACACATCATATGGCCACAGGCAAAAGAAAACCCAAACTATATTCCAACAGCTTTTGTTTCTTCCATCTAAGGGACCATCCATCTGCCTAAATAATAGCACTTCTTTTTATAGAGTGCCTCCTGCTCTTTAATACAGTAACATTTGCTTCCTCCAGTAAGGGCAGAGGCAACCTTAATGTGAATTATGTGTGTGTGTGTGTGTGTGAAAGTTCCTAAAAAATAACTGTGGGTTCAAAACAGAAAGCTAAATGAAACATTCAGCACAATCTTGTGAAATTCAGGGTTGAAAATCCTGGGGTACCAACACTAAGGGAGCTAATGGGAGGGACCTTGGAGAATTGTTTCTTCAGTTGCAGACTTCTCAATATTTTACATCCCTGTAACAGACGGCATAACCAAGGCTCCACTGACAAACATAAAGAAGAGTGTTACACCAAAAAGAAAATAAATCAATATTTTAGCTTTTCTTAAAATTCAAACAGGGCAGGGTGAAAAGGGGAGATGTGGGAGGAATTTTGCAGTAGGCAGTGACACAAGCATTCACTGATGCAATAATATTTATTGAGCACCTACTAGGTACCAGGTCTTGTGTAAGGGCCCAGTAATGCAAGATATAACAAGTCCTGGTACTACTGCCAAGGAAATTTCAGTCTGAAGGGTACTCTAGTTCACATAGTGAGGTCAATTATAATTCTATTTACCGAAGGTTGTGACAGAAACATTCACAAAATGCAACAGAAGCATAAGTGATAGAGAAACTAATCTGACCTATGAAAAATGGAAACAACTTTCCAGAGGAGGAAAGAAAAGTACATTCTAGGCAGAAGTCTTAAAAAATATTAGGACATTGAGTTGTCCCAGTCAGGAGAGAAATAAAAAGGTGCTGGGAAGCAGGAAATTCAATGCACAGCTAAAAGTGTTGCACGATTAGGAGAGGGAGCTACAGGTTTCTTAGATTCATTTATCTTGGAAACACTCTTCAGCACCTACCATGTATCTGGCACTGTGCCAAGACCAGCAGACACACTAATAACCAAGGCGTGGAAGGGTGCTGATTATAAAGTCAAGATTGTAAAGAGTGTCAGGTGCCAAGCTAAAAAGCATGCGCTTAGCCCTGCAGACAATAAGGACAATTAGGCACATACCCAGGAGAAATGAAAACATACATCCACACAAAACTGTGAGCAAATGTTTAAAGCAGCATTATGTATAATGGCCAATGGTGGAAACAGCCTACATGTCTATCCCCTGAAGAACAGGTAAGCAAAATGCGGCTTAGCCTTACAATGGGATATCACTCAGCAATAAACTAGAGTGAAGAACTGGCACAAGCTACAATGGGGATGACCCTCAATTACAGCCACAAAAGGCCACATACTGTATGACTCCATTCGTATGAAATGTCCAGAAGAGGGAGATCTGTAGAGACAGAAAGTCGACTAGTGGCTTACTTATGGTTAGGACTGGGTAACGGGACAGGATAGGAGGGTTTCTTTTGAAGTGATGAAAACCTGCTAAAATTGATTGTGGTGAAGGCACCTTATCTGTGAATATACTAAAAACCACTAAACTGTATGCTTTAAGTGGATTCTTTTTATGGTATCTAAATTATATTTGAATAAAGCTATTTTAAAAAGTAGGAAGTCAATGAAAGTTTTGACAATGAACAATCAATTTCCCAAATTGAAGTTTGAGAAAGTAAACACTGAGTAGACAGGGAGAGAAGACTGCAGGCAGAAAGCCTGGCTAGACTGCTCTGCTGGGAGTCTAGGCCAGCTGGGCATTGGTGGTGAGAAGGGAGAAAAAAGGCCTAATTATGGATATGTCTGATATGATCCTACCAGCATCGGTGGGCAGGGATGTGGGAGCAAAAAGAGTGAAGAAAATAAAAAAAGTCAATAGGAGGCAAATGTAATTGCTTGCATACCCAGTTGCACAGTTACACTATTACAAAGAGAGCCTACAAGACAGAGCTGGTTGGTAAAGGAAACAACATGTCAGTTTCACTAACGTAAAGAGGGCACTGCCCCTGGGCCACCCAATAGCAAATTGGAAATAGGAGTCCAAGACCCTAGAGACATATTTGGCAGCCAGGGAAATTTAAGTCTATCACTGGGTGAGATATTCCAAGAAAAGTGTTGCATTAGTTTGTTTTCACACTGCTAATAAAGACATACCCAAGACTGGGCAATTTACAAGAGAAAGGTATTTAATTGGACTTACAGTTCCACATGGCTAGGGAAGCCACAAAATCCTGGTGGAAGGCAAGGAGGAGCAAGTCACGTCTTACATGGTTGGCAGCAGGTAAAGGGAGTGAACTTGTGCAGGAAAACTTCTAACAACCGTCAGATCTCGTGAGACTTACTATCATGAGAACAGCACGGGAATGACCTGCCCCCACGATTCAATTACCTCCCACTGGGTCCCTCCCAAAACATGTGGGAATTCAAGATGAGATTTGGGTGAGGGCACAGCCAAGGCATATCAAGTGTAAAGAACAAGAAGAGACAAAAACCAGAAGTAAATCCTCAGGGATAGGGAGTATTTTATAAGGTAGGAAAATATCTGACAAAAGATTTGTACCCAAAATACATAATGAACTCCTACACACCAATATAAAAAGATAGTCCAACAAAAATGGACAAAAGTGCTGGGTGCAGTAGCTGATGCCTGTAATCCCAGCACTTTTGGAGGCCGAGGTGTGTGGCTCGCTTGAGCCCAGGAATTCAAGATCAGCCTGGGGAACATAGCAAGACTCTCTCTACCAAAAATTAGCTGGGTGTGGTGGCATGCTCCTGTAGTCCCAGCTACTCAGGAGGCAGGGGTAGGAGGATCACTTGAGCCCCAGAATTGGAAGTTGCAGTGAGCCGAGATCGCACCACTGCACTCCAGCCTGAGCGACACAGTGAGACCTTGTCTCCAAAGAAGAAAAACACACACACACACACACAAGGTGTGAACAGTCACTTCACAAAGGCCAATATATAAATGGCCAATAAGCACATTAAAAAGTGCTTCAATGCCACTGGTCATTAAGAAAAAGTAAATTAAAAGTACAGTGGGGTACTACTACACATCCACCAAAATAACTACAATGGAAAAGACAGAATATATTGAGGGTCTTAAGAATGTGGAGCAACAAGACCCTCAAACAATGCAGGTAGTAATGTAAATCAGTAGTTATTGTGGAAAATTATTAGCCTCTACTAAAGGGAACACATGTGTACACTGTGACTCAACAATTTCACTCCTAAGTATTTATACAACAAAAGCACATGCATATGTCCATCAAAAAATACACGCTGGAATATCTACAGCAGCAACACGTTGTAACAGTCACAAACTGAAAACTTACCAAATATCGATCAATAATAAAATTGATACATCGTGATATATTGGCACCTTGAATCACTACATACTGATAACAATGAACAATCTGCACATAAAATATTATAAATCACACAACTATAATGGTGAAGAAAAGCAAAAAGACACCAAAGGGATTTACACTGTATTGTTCCATTTATATCAAACATCAAAATAGGAAAAACTAATCTATGATGTTGAGAGTCAGAATAAAGTTTGCCCGTGGGGGTGGGGTCAGGTGCAGAGAATGGAAAGGGCCATGAGGTGGCATCCAAGGTGCAGGCTATGTTCTTTTTCTTGATCTGGGTGCTGGGCACACTGCATGTGTACACAGTGATTTGCATGTATGTAACATTTCAATTAAAAAATTAAAAGAGTTTAAAGAAATTGGAAAAAAATCATGAAGGAGATAAATAGGAAATTAGGAGATCAGTAGCTCAAACCCTAGAGAGTGATGTCTTAGAAACAAAAAGACATTTTGAGACGTTAACCAACAGTTTTCAACACTGTCAATTGCTTCAGAGAGGTCAGAAAACATGAGAACTAAAACAGGCTATCGAATTTGCAAATTGGGTACATTAATTTTGAATGGAAATGCCATTTGGGTTCAAGTTAGCTTTATTGATTTCATAGGAATACGTGAGTGGGTATGCTTACTAAAATGAACTGCTTGTGTAAAGGTCTTCCAAAATGAAAGGGAATATAACTTAGCCTTAGGTAAACATATCTAGAAAGCATAACATTTAGCTGATTCTGAGACTCCAAAATGGTTTTTTCTTTGGATAAATGCTTAGAAATTCAGTGTCATCTCGATCAGACAATCACAAATCAGTTAAATGATGGGCTTATAATGACTTGGAAAGCATTCCAAGGCTTCTATGAAGTGATTCCAAGTCAGGTTATTAAAATGTGCTCATATGTTATAGCAATTTTGCCTTTAACGTTAATATATTTCACTCATTCTATCTACTCCCAAGCTGTGAAATGATGTTGCAACTGTCATCACTTAGAAATATGAAATTCTGTCTCTGTCCATCATAAAACAACAAACAAAAACACAGAAACAAGAACTGGATTTACTCTATGTCTTCACTAAAGTTTCAGACAGTACAGAAAAAAAAAAAATGAAAGAAGGAAACAAACAAAGTGGACCTTATGAGTGGCCCAGCTTACTTCCTGAGTTTCTAAGATAATTCCAAAAGGAGGAAATTTGAATAAAACTTGGTTATATTGTGGGGTTAGGGGGACCAAGTATGACACTTGAGGGGACTAAGGCTGCTAGAATTTACAAAGTGGAAAGAAGGAAGTTATATAGAGAGGGAGCTCCAGAGAGCGGAAGGAGCTTCCAGTTGATGAGTCCTTAACTGTGTGCTGATATTTGCATGCGTGTA
Source organism: Homo sapiens (assembly GCF_000001405.40). Classification (NCBI taxonomy): domain Eukaryota; kingdom Metazoa; phylum Chordata; class Mammalia; order Primates; family Hominidae; genus Homo; species Homo sapiens. The sequence continues at coordinate 860,607 of NW_025791814.1, forward strand.
AGAAAACTACCAAGGTTGGATTAGGAACACCAGAAAGAAGTGGGTGAAAATCTGTGAAGCTCACACAGGGGAGAAAATAGTTCATGTTTCAACCAGCAAAAGAGGTAAGAACTTCTAATAAATAGAACATCAGATTGAGTATTCAGAAATGTATCACACAGCTGCAGGGGACAAATTAATCATAACAAAATTTAAAAGTGATCCTAGAAGGGAACAAACTGAGTCTAAGTAATTGAACTGCACAACAAAAAACTTTGATGATAATTAATAGAAACCAACAATCAATCAATAATATAAAATTTACAATGTCTGTCATTCAATAAAAAATTGGACACAATAAGGGAAATATGGCATATTATTAGGAGTAAACTATTCCACAGAAAGACACATAAATGAGAGATGATACAATTTGCAAGCATGGATATTAACATCACTCTTATAAATATTCTGTCAATATGTACAAGACAGTAGGAAAAAGGAAGAGCTCATTGATGAGAGAAATGGAGAAAATACAAACAGCCAAGCTGCAAATAAAACAGTCAAATGGACCTTCTAGAGATTCAAAATGTAATATATGAAATGAAAGTTAGACAAATAGGATTAATGGCAGATTACACCCTTCAGAAGAAACTGTCAATGAACCAGAAAACAGAGCAATTAAAACTACCCAAATTGAAAAACAAACTTTAAAAAGGCTTAAAAACAGTAAACACAAAACTGGTGAGATGTGGGCCAATATCGTTTGGCCTAATATACGTATAATTGGAGTTCTAGGATGAAAATGAGATACAGAAAAAAAATCGAACAATTAATATACAGAAGTTTCAAACTTTAATGAACACTAGAACCTCAACTATCCATCAAATTCAACAAACACCAAACAGAAGCATGTAGAAAACCACAACATGACACATGATTAAATTGTTCAAATCCAACATAAAGAAAAAAACTTAAAGGCAACCAGATTAAAAAATAAATACATGTTATATTTAGAGAAACAAAGATAAGAATGACAGCAGACTTCTCATCAGAAACAACGCAAAACAGAAGACAAGGGGAGAGAAATTTGAAGCATTTTTTTAAAAAAAAGACAGGAAAGAAAAACTGTCAACCTAAAGCTCTATATGCAGAAAAATTTTCATAAAGACAAAATAACTTTCTAGACATTCCAAAGCTGAGAATTCATTGTCAGTAGACTAGCAATACAAAAATCGTTAAAATCTTTCAGGAAGAAAAGAAATAATATCAGATGCAAATTTGTGACTTCATAAAGAAATGAAGAGTGACAAAAATGTTAAGCATGTGGGTGAATATAAAATCATATTTTCTCACTTTAAATCATCAAAAGATACATTACTGTTAAGGCAATAATAATGCATTGTGTGGTTTGTAACATATAGATAAAATGAATAACAATATTAACACAAAGGCAGGAGGAAGGAGGAAATAAAAATTTATTGTTGTAAGGTCCTTCTATAAATTAAGTGGTATTATTTGAAAGTAAGCCATGTTACTTTGAAGATGGACATTGTAAACTCTAAAAGCAACCACTTACAAAGCAAAATAAAAACAAAACTTACATGTTAATCCTTTAATGCAGGTAAAATTGACAATTTAAAAAATACTCCATTAATCCAAAAGAAGGCAAGAAAGAGAAAAATAAAGGAACAGAGGACAGATAGAAAAAATAGGGAGCAATTAGCAAGATGATAGGTTTAAACGAAACCAAATTGACCATCACATTAAATATAAATTGCCTAAACACTCTTAAAAGTAAAACATTGTCAGATTGAATAAAAAATAAATACCTAACTATACGCTATCCAGGAGAAATTCTATTATAAAGAAACTGATAGACCAAAAGTAAAAAAAATAGAAAAAATATAAGCTAACACTACTCTAAAGAAAGTGGGAGTGATTATATTAATATCAAAGTAGATTTTAGAATAAGAAATATTACTAGGGACAGATGGTTATTCCCTAATGATAAAGTGGTCAATTCATCAAGGTGACATAACAATCCTAAATGTCTATGTACCTAATAAAAGAGCTTCAGAGGACATGAAGCAAATCTGCTGGAATTAAAGTGAAAAATATAAAATCCAAAAGGAGAACTGAGAGCTGGGTCTCTCTCGCTCTTTTTTTTTTTTTTTAGTGCTAATTACCATTAGGGTAACGTAACAGTGTTTTTTGTTGAGATGTAGGTTGCATTCTTGAATGTTGGAGGTTAAGAAACTGTGAGTAGAAAAAATCCAATGTCATCTCACAGCTGTCATACACTAGGGTCTGGCCACGCTGGTCTCCTCAGTGTCCTAGGTCCCCAATCCCCTTCCAACTCGGGGTCTGTGCTGGTACTAGGCTCTTAGCTGGAACACTTCACCCTCCTTTATCCAATTAACTCCTACTCATTCATTGAATGTCAGCTAAACACCAATTCCTTAGAATTTATTCCCGGTCTTCTACCTTTCATACTAGACACCGTGTCCTACCTTTCAGCTTCTTGCATCACACTGTCATCAATGTTTTCATAGCTATTTTGCATGTGCACCCCACTCCATTGCAATCTAGAAGAGGGGCAGCATGCTTCATAGGAGATGATGCAATCTTATTCTTAGAGGCAGCTGGTGTGCTGGCTAATACATAATAGAAGCCCTCACATTTTTTATTGAATGCATAAATAAATGTTTAAAAGAAAAATATTATGGTTTTCATACTACATATAACTAAAGAGATTCCTTTTAAGAAGTAACAATCTGTATTTTATATACATCATCTACTATAATCTAAATTCCATTATATAGATATCAAGGGACCACAAGGATGAGTGGCTGACAAAAAGAATTTCTGAGGTGCTATAAGAACACACTTCGAAGATTTTAGCTACTTTGTGTAAGAATGTTCTTTTTATCCAATATTTGTACTTATTTTGCAACAAGAAGGAAAAAGCCTGATTTTTGCCATGGGTTTTACAAAGCTCTGGAGAAAAAAAGTAAAAATAAATTAGTGTTTTACCCAGAAAATGTCTGAGTATTGTTTGCAATCCATTTCTAGAGTACTACTTCCATATGTGTATAGGGAATTCATTTTAGAGATAAAAGTCTCTCCATCCCTTTGGATGGATTAAAGTCACTCTCATTAACATTGCTAGGGGTTAAGTGTACATTTTCAGAGAGGAATATAGAATCTGTAATGAATAATATGTATGTGGTTTACTACGTTCCGGCATTTACATTTTAAGCTCAAAGGTTTCAAAAGGCATGAAAGTGGCTAGCGATTTGGAAGGAGCAGAAGACCCAGTGAGCATTATGATCACAGGCAGTAAAGCACATGAATAAACCAAAATGATGTAAATGGCTCCTTAGGATTCGGAAGCATAAAAACTGGGGAACAAGAATAGAACAAACGAATGAAGAAAGAGTACAGAGTTATGTAAAGAATTACAAATGAAGAAAATCAGCAGAAATAACAGAGAAATAAAGATAACATCACAATAATGTTAACAGAATTGCTTTCTGCAGATTAAGAGGCAAAGAGTTGGAGAGAGAGGGAAAAAATTACAAAATTGAATGTCCAAAAACATGGCAATGTGAAATAGCAACAAAAAAACAGTGAAGCAACAATAAAGTAAGATTATCAAAGGGAAGGGGAGGAGGACGTTAACCAAAGCCAACTGAATCATTTCTCCTATGATTAAAGAAGAAAATGAATTATAACCAGAGACTGACTGGTACCTCAGCATAAAAATGTAAAATCCAAGTTCGGTAATTAAACCTTTCACTCCAGCATTAAGTGAAAACACTGAAGTGAAATGACAAAAAGACATAAATTCTTCTTAGTTTCATTGACTAATACACTGTTGAGCATTATTTTCTTTTGCTAGAACTTCACTATGTTCAGAAGTGCTTCATTTTTCATTTTGCTCTGACCTAAGGACTTACAGAAATCTAATGTTTTAAGTAATTTCTTTCTTCATGTAACGCACAGGTTTAAGTTTCAGAAACAAAATAAATGACCATTCTCATAAATGCAAATACACCCTAAGTCATGAGTGATGACAATTTTTAAAAAAACTTTGAAAGACTCTTTAAGGATTGACTCCAGTCTAATCTGGTCCCTCGAATTTACCAGCCTTTCCAGGGTTTGCTCTGAATGAGAGACTGGCTCACTGGCTTCCTCTAGTATGACTTCTTTTGGCTTTCTCCACAATGTTAAATCCATTGCCATTGGCATCTCATGACTGCCAGCATCTCATCTCTCTTCCCCTTTGTCCTTAGAGTGTTTGTAAATCCCTTTATTTCCATGTTAATGAAGCTTCTGTGGCAGGATGAGGAAGCAATGACAAAGTGTAGATGTCCAGTTGCCTTTTCTTATCAGCAATGCCTACTGTCGCCAAAGCAGTGATGGAAAAAAAAACCTGCGTCCGGGCTCCAGGTATGAGGTACTCTTCTATCTTCCCAGAGGACATTGGGGAATACTGCATGAATGAAACTCACCTGACTTTACCATCCCTTGTACTCATACCACCTGATCCAGTTCTGTATTTTTGCCCTTGCATATCAACAGACTGTTCGTATATGTGACTTTATTCATTGCCAAAACATTTGTACCTTGAATGCAGCAAAGGGGGCATTGTCATCCTTGTAAACCGTGTGCTCACACAGCACTGAGTGTATGGACAATGCAATCAACACTTAAATGTAACCGAAGGCAGACCTCTGTGGAGGTGGAAAAAGCATTTCTTTGTGAGAAAAGGTGCCATCATTTCTGGGGTTCTCTGTAGTTGGAACCTGCTCTCAGGTTCTGACCTAGGAGTGTGGAGACCAAGGGCCTGCCTTTTCTGGACCTCAGTGTGCAGCCATTTATAAAGCAAGGTGTGACTGACCTAGAATTCCATACTCAAAGTATCAAACAAGTAAACGAGGACAATTTTAGATCATGCAAAGTCAAAATTTTGACCTCTCATGTACCCTTCTTCAAAAAGCAATTAAAAAATGAATTAAAAGGTTGCAAACTCAGAAAGAACATACGATATCCAGAAAACAGACGGTACAACATAGGTGAGAAACAAAAAGAATTTCCAGAATAACTGTGAACGATAACAGAACAACAAACATACAGCAGAAATCAGTCCAGATTAAAGCAGAAAGAAGGCTCCTGGAGAGATGTTTCCAGGAAAAAAATAAACATTCAAGCACGCTAATGCATCTGAATGTATTAAGAAGAGTGTTTAGTCCGTTGGAGAATTTGGGGAATGAATTAGTAACACATGCAGTGAAAACTAAGTAAACAAAGAAGCAAGTGATTATTAATCCTAGGAAAAACACAAAGCTGTAATAGAAAAAGTGTTCATCATATACTATGTGGCTCAGCTGTAGCTAATATTTACATAGTCATAATAATGTAAATCATAAATATTGATCTAACCCCAAATGGTAGTATCATTATATAGATAAAATAGAAAAAGATAAGAAAAGAGGGCATTCACAGTCCATAAAATCAAGGTAAATCCATATCTAAACTTGAAAGATTAAGAATTTCAGTGTAAAAAGATAACTTAAAAATATGGGTCTGAACATAGAAGAGTCAGCTTTAACAGGAAAAAAAAAAATACTCACAGAAAGCAAAGTCTGTAAGTGAGTGTGTTTCCAGAGAGTTTGTCTAATTCCAATCATGATCAGAAGGAGCCCAAACCAACCCTATGCGGAACAGTGCCTTCCAAGTGGACGCAGCACAATTTGTCTGATTCTCTGCTATGGTTTGAATGTTTGCCCCCACTCGAACTCATGTTGAAATTTAATCCCCAATGTGGCAGTATTGAGGGGTAGAGCCTTTAAGAGGTTATTGGGTCATGTAGGCTCTGCCCTCATGAATAGATCAATCCATGAATGGATTGATGGAGTAATGGATTAATTGATTAGTGGGTGGGTTGTCATGGAAGTGGGACTGGTGACTTTATAAGAAGAGGAGGAGAGATCTGAGCTGGCATACCCAGCCCCCTCTTCTCTGAGTCCCCATCAGCAAAAAGACCCTCACCAAATGTGGCCCTTCAACCTTGGACTTCTTAGCCTCCATAATTGGAGGAAATCAATATATCATTTCTCTATAATACCAGTGTCAGGCATTCTGTTACAAACAACAAAAAACAAAATAAGACATTCTCACCTACATCAGTCAGCTGGAGACTAATGACGCCCCACAGGCTCTCAATGATGGAAAACACACGATGCTGAAATCTCGCCTACAGAGGCTTATTTAGGAGTCTCAAACACGCAAGACTTTAAAAAATCTGTTGATTGGAACCCTGGTTAAATTATTGTCCTAATTTCCTTGTCCACTTAGCTATGCCCCTGTTCTGGGATCCAGTATTCTTAAAACTTCAAGAAGTTTTCTTGCCTTCCTCCTCATGTATGTGATTCTTCTGCACATTTGTTAGTACTTCAGAAAAAAATTAATAAGAGTCACATAAGGTATACTCAAAAATATCCTTAAAATATGAGAGTTTTAATCGAAGAAGTAAAAAGCATCATTCTTAACAGTTGCCCAACCCAAACATGTGGGTGCTTGTAGAGGTCCCTGTTTTCCTCATATCTTATATTCACAGCATCAATAAGTCTCTTAGCTGTACCCTCAAAATATACCCTGCATCTGCCTTGTGCCATCTCCTCTGCCACTCCCTGGTCCAATCCACCATCACCTCTCCCTGGTGCCCAATGGGTCTCTCTGCTTCTACCCTGGTCCCCTACACACACACTCTCATCCATCAGCTCCATCAGTGAGAGTGATCCAGTTAAGATGGCTCAGGCCATCTCTGGCCTCTGTTCTGAGCTTTTGAGGACCCCATTCTCCAGGTAAAAGCCTATCTTCCTACAGGATCCATCCTCACTGTTTCTTCTCTGATGTCATCTCCTACCACCCTCCCCTGGGGATCCCACCGCAGCCACACTGGCCTCCTTGTCGTCTCTAGACCACCCCTGCAGGCTCCCACCTCTGGGTCTCTGTACCTGCTCTCCCTCCACCTGGGATGTTTTTCTCCCAGAAACTCCCTGGCTCACCTTTTCCAGCCTTGGCTGTGCCGTCTCCCCCTCAGGGATGCTTCCCCTGACTGCCTGGTAAAGATGGCGGCACTTCCACTACTGCAGCGCCCCCTCCGACCCACGCCTGCACTTACTCCCCATGGCCCTCAGCGTCTTTAGTGCACTCGATCATTTACCTATTTGTTATACTTGCTTCAACTGTCTGCCTCTAAACCTATCCTAAAATTTTGGTCCCTAAAAAGTAAATATTTTGGTTGATTTTATTCCCTGATGTATTCCCAATTCCTACAATAGTTTCTAGCATGTAGCAAAGAGTCTCAACAAATATTTAATACTTCTTGAACACAAGACTGTTAGGCTAAATTCAATTAAATATCAATAAGTCTCAGTGACATATAGTGTTTTAAAATTAAACATTCACTATAAATGATTCTTTTTTTTTTTTATTTTGAGACAACTTTTGCTCTTGTTGCCCAGGCTGGAGGGCAGTGGTGCAATCTTGACTCACTGCAACCTCCGTCTCCCGGGTTCAAGCAAATCTCCTGCCTCAGCCTCCTGAGTAGCTGGGATTACAGGCACCTACAACCACGCCCGGCTAATTTTTTGTATTTTTAGTAGAGACGGGGTTTTATCATGTTGGCCAGGCTGGTCTCGAACTCCTGACCTCAGGTGATCCACCTGCCTCAGCCTCCCAAAGTGCTGGGATTACAGGCATGAGCCACCATGCCTAGCCCACTACAAATGATTCTGAATGCCGCCTCTCCATTTGCACAGCACCTTAGGCCCTTCCCAAGCATTTTCACCCATCATTGTCACATTTAATCCTATAGATGTTTATTCTTACAGACTGCACTAGGTGAGAAGTCAGAGCTCTAGAGAAGAGAAGGAAATTAGTTACCCTGGATTCCGTATTGTGTGTCAGCAAAGCACCAAGATGCCCAAGTGTGCTCCTTCACTCAGTGGTAATGCATCTACACGTGGCAATATTTCAATCTCCACTGACATGGGTCGCTAGCCCCGTGTCTGCCAAGAAAATATCACCAAGTGCATTATCAAACTTTATATTCAAAGCTGTAACTATTGCTTCTGTTCTTGGCATGATTAAATAATTAGCTTTTATGGAATACACATTATGTGCTAGGATTATGCTAAGTAATCTAAATACAAAACCTTATTTTAATCCTCAAACTACACCTCACAGGCTGCTATTGCTGCTATTTTTATGTCAGAGATGAGAAACCATATAAACTTTGAACTCTGTCGTGAGGAACAGAGCTGGGATTTGGTGCTAGGTTGTCAGTTAAGCAGTGACTGTGTTTGGGCTCAGAACCCTTTAAGAATGAGAAGAAAGTGCTGCACTCTGTCATGAACAAAAAGGACACACACAGTTCTGTTTCCAGCTCCTTAAAGGTCCAAATCCCCACTTAAAACACCTTTGATCTAAACATTGCTGCAGATTATTTAAAATTCTCATAATAAGATGTGCTTGGGCTAGGTATGCCGTGTAGTCCTTGGAGCTCATCTAAAGCCTTATAAACTGAATCGTGTTCCTTTGTAATCACTTAACATTTAGATAGATTGAGGTTCAGTAATCAGATCTTTAAGTCACAGCCACACAAAAACAAGACAACTCTGCTAACATGTCTTTGGTTATAACATTTATTTCCTGTTTCTTTTTTTGTTGTGTTCTATAAAATCTTAATGACCTACTTTCATATACTTCTTCCAGAATTAAAACTATGATCAAAAATTGAAAAAACCAAACCAGAAAACATGATTTTTAGAGTGGCTTCCTCCAAAGACATCCTCTAGGCCAGATCCATGGTGAAAATGTAGCACATTCAACATACACTGTGGTATTAATGCTAATTTACAACTGCACTACAACCAAATCTCAGTTGGAATTCATTAATTTTGACAGTTTGCCTATCACACTAGAATGAATTCGCCGAGTCACAGAAACGTCTCTGAAAAGAGAAGAATCACATTCTCCTTGCTATTAAGTATTCATAACAGACTGGAGTTGAACATTCTCAAGGCAACTAGACATACCATTAATAATCCCAGAACCTATGAAATGTGGCTTGGGCTTCACCGAGCAGAAACCCGTAGCCACTCAGGTCTCTTTCCTTCTATACCTAATATGCACCAGCTGTGTAATGGGCTCCGAAGAGCCTCCGGGGCGCAGGAGGTCATAAAATAGAGTCCATTATTCCACATTGGAAATTTGACTTGATTTGGACTTGACACTTCATTTGGAGAAATGTCCTGGAGGCATAATTTTTTCTGGAAGTTTGGGGTTGGGGTGAGTGGCTGGCTGTTGCAAATGAATCCTGTGGAACATTTTTAAACTTAAAGGAATGAGACTTCTTAAATATTTCCTTCATGATGACTTCTCAAAATAAAATTGAGTTGTAAAGTCTGAAAGTTATTACTGGAATGTTTTAAATTAAACCGACCCAGGATCGCAGATTTCCAAGAGAGAGTGTGAAGACCGTGCCAGTCACAGCATTTTCCACCGTTTGATAAAAATCAAATCTTATCTGTAAAGACATAACTGTTCTAAGATTTTATAAGCAGAAAATAACGCCCATAGCATCTATCAAGGATGCCCCAGGGCCACAAGCCTGGCACGCTGTCCAGCCCATGATGCTGTCTCTATAAGAGGCCACCTGATGTGATGTGCTGGAAGACTGTTGCCAAGGCAACACAAACTGCAAGAGAGGAGGGGGTGGGAGCAAGACCCCGGACTCACAATACCCCAGATTTCAAATCAGTAGATTTAGAGTATTTGCATATTTTGGGGCACCTAGAGTACAATGTTAACAATATAGCACATGCAACTTGCTCAATGATTACTAAAGCCCAAAACAGAAATTGTTACAAAATATTATGGAATGATCCTGTTACCATCAGAAAAATGTTTAGCCCATAGAAAGTAAACCTATGACCCCAAGTCACTACCTAAAGACCTATTTTTATGTTTGCATATTTGGACCAACTCTATGCATTTAAAAACAAAATAATTTACATATTTATTGTTTCTCTCATACTTTTAAAGTATGAGGCCAGTAAACTAGAATGTCAGAGGCAACAAATATGAGCTTCGGTAAGGAAGGTTTGGTAATAAGGATGTGAGCCATAAGCATGACTGTTCTGAAGAAGTATTTAGGAATGGGTCAAAGTCAACCTTACAGATTCTGAAGTAACACAAAATTAGGCTAGTATTAACTTTGTTGTATTTAATGTTTTCATTAGTCACTTAAACACAGGTAGTATGATAGGAGTGATAGTGAGAATAATGTTAACAAGAAGACAATTTCACTAAATACCAGGACAGACACTGCATGATCTCATGGAATTCCCCATCAACCCACAAGGCAGTTGCAATCATGGTCCTCATGATAAGGAGGGGAAAGTTGAGGCTATAGCTCATGGGGCGGTGAGTATACTAGTTTGCTAGGGCTTCTGTAACAAAATACCATAAGCCAGGTGGCTTAAACAACAGAAATATTTTTTTTCATGGTTCTGGAGGTTAGAAGTTCAAGTTTGCAGTATCCACAGGGTTGGTTTGTTCTGAGGCTTCTCTCCTTGGTTTGTAGAAAGTGTCTTCTCAATGTATGTTCACATTCCCCTTTGTGTGTGTGTCCTAATTTCCTCTTCTTATAAGGATATCAGTCATATTTAATGAAGGCCCATCTTACAGGCCACATTTTAACTTAATTACCTCCTTCCCACTGCACCCCCCCCCCCGCCCCCCGGGTGAGAGTCTTGCTCTTTCACCCAGGCTGGAGTGCAATGGTGCGATCTCAGCTCACTGCAACCTCTGCCTCCCGGGTTCAAGTGATTCTCCTGCCTCAGCCTCCTGAGCAGATGGGATTACAGGTGTGCACCACATCTGGCTAATTTTTTGTATTTTTAGTAGAGACAGGGTTTTATCACGTTGGCCCGGCTGGTCTCAAACTCCTGACCTCATGATCCACCTGCTTTGGCCTCCTAAAGTGCTGGGATTACAGGCAGGAGCCACCACACCAGGCCTGCTTAATTACCTCTTTAAAAGCCCCATCTCCACATACAATCACCTTCTGAGGTCAGTGGTTAAGGCTTCAACATAGTTTTTGGGGGATACCATTCAACCCCTAACAGAGGGAAACAAGGATGGTAGAGGAACCAGGGACCATAATATGGGACAAATGTGATAGAATTCTGAAGATTCTGCAATGACTGCTGTGGGCAGGAGGATGAAATCTATTATATCACCCTAGGACCCTCCCTTCCTTTAAGAATGAAGTTAAAGAGAGGCAGATGCCACCACCATGTAAGGCAGAACATTCTAACAATTAGAACTGCCCAACATTGAACATACTGAAATGTTTTCAAGGAGAATGGTGTATTGGAGATGCCAAGAACCTTGAAGGTTGACTCAGCAATATCTAGTCTCTTACTCATTCCAATTAAGAGTCATGAAATCACAAGAAGAATGCATGTTTCTCTGCCTTAGAGGAGATACACTGATTCAATAACTTCATCTCCTTGGAGGCTCCTTGCCTGACTGATGTGGACAAGGTCCTCTAATTAATCACACATTAGCTCTGATTCCTAAAATAGCTCATACAATTATTGAGGCAATTTCAAGTGAGCATGCTTTGCAAAATAAGTTACTTTTGCCCCTATACTAGTCCTAATTAGCTACTTGTATCATAAAACTAGAAAAGTCTAGCCTGAATCCAAGACAAATGCATACAAATGATGAATATGAAACACTTTTTGAGAGGACTTAAAATGTGAAGAAAGCAATATATGTGACTATTATCACCATTTAATGGTACTTTGTGCGAGTCCTGGGCTTGGAGCCAGCACCACGGATATGATGATCACTTGCTATTTTTTCTACTATTTCAGAGTCTCTGCTTTTCTATGCTGGGTAAGATCCATGTGATTGGCAGGTCAGACGATGCATAAAGTGATTTGAGGCAATTACAGCGACAGTTAAAGATTAATATGGGAAAATACTCTCATCTATTTTTTTCTTCCTGTATCTGAGAAACTTTCTCTAAAATCATTACCTTCCTGACCTATACAAAAGAGGCCCCAGGTATGGCAAACTGTGCCAGGCACTGGGAGGGTGCAGACATGCATGCAGGTGCTGGAGGGGCAAAAGGCCAGGTAGTTGCTGCACTCGTAAATAACCCACTGGAGAGGCACTTACAGGGAGGCAGGCTGGAGACAAGTGCCAGGGGAGGTATGAACCAGGAGCTTGGAAAGAACAGAGGAGCCTGCTGGATACTGACTGATGGGACTGAGGAGGTTGCTGCCTGCAGTTTCTTTTGCGGTTTCAATTCCCTACTCCCAGTCTACTTTTTGGTGAGACCTCACATTGGAGAAGCGGAATTACTCCACTGGGGGTAATTTTGCCCTCCCTAGGGAAAATTAGCAATGTTTGGAGATACTGTTGATTGTCATGAGGGAGGGTTTGGGGAGTGCTATGCCATCTAATGAGTAGAGGCCAGGGATGTGGCCAAACATCCCACTGTGTGTGGGACAGTCCCTCCCATTGAAGAACCATCCAACCCAAAATGTCAATAGGCCGCTGCTGAGAAACCTTGCCTCTGAGCATGGCACCCATAGACTGTGGGTCCTGCTCTCCCTCTGGCCCATGAGTGACTTATCAGAGAGGTGAGTTTGGGAAGAGAAAGTGACACGCCTCCTTTTCTTCTCCCCTCTAGCCTCCTTGACCTCAGGGGCCATGCCCACTGCTCTGCTCTGCTCCACTCTCCCCATGTTAAGTTGCAGCAAGACCCTGCTTGTGGTTGGGGGAAGGGCTCCAGGGGCCTGGCTTGGTTTGGTTCTGGGGTTTAGGATTAGCAAGGCCATTGCTGCCACCCGTCAGCACCACATTGTCAAGCTCAGACTTTGTCATAAACAGATGATATTTGATCTCCACCTGACCCCTCTCTATATCTTTCTGTTAATTGATTCCAAATATAGGCAGGGAGCTGGGGTGTCTTGGCATCCGTAAACCCCGACATCACTTACTGTTGAATCTTAAACAGATGATGGGCCCTAACTTAATTATACAAATGTCAGTCCTTAATAAATGATAAGCAGAGTAAGCCCTGTGAGGATTAACTTAGATGTGCATTAGATGCGATGTGGGGTCATCTAGAAATCGGAGTCACCCCAAGAAACGCTAAATGTTGTCAAAAGATGACACTGAGAGTCTCCAATCCAAGGAAATTTTCACCTGAAGCTTTCCACTTTAACAGCATCTACAGAGATCAAGCTACGGGGCTACAAGAGGAGAGCAGGAGGAAGATAAGAAAAGGGGCACGCTGCTTCCTCTTCCCAAACCCATCTCTCAGATAAGTCACTCATGGGCCAGAGGGAGAGAAGGACCCACAGCACATGGGTGCCATGCTTGGATGCAGGGAGCCTTGAAAAATACTTTTAAAAATATTCAAGAGCCACCTTGAGAAAGGCCTCTTTAAGAGACAAAGGGGCCAGAGCTTAGAGTCAAGCCATGCATACACAAAGGACAGAAAGGTCTTCCATCCAACCTGTGTAAATCACTGCACTTTCTTCTATCAGGGTGAGCCTCAATCTGCTTCTTCGAATGTAAATCCAATTGTCGGAGAGGTCTACAGATAATGTTTACCAAGCAGCCTCTTAGGAAAAATTCAACTGGGACCTCCATCCCACCATTCCAGCCAGAGTTTCAATATGGCTCGTTCACACTTGATTTCCACACCCTTCTTTTCAGTTAATACCCTTTTTTCCTTCTAATGTTGTATGAAAATGTAGACTCTGAGGGTTGTTTTCCTGCTTGTTTAATACGTGCAGTCTCTACCGTCCCTCAGCTTTGTCAGTCCACCTTCTTGGGTTCTGAATGTTCTCATGTATTTATGTAGACAAACGTGAATGTGCTTTTGGAAGAGAAGAGAGTAGACAAAGTAAGAAGAGAATCTTGGATTTTGACTTGTTATTGTCACAAAACAGAAATGCTGGTTGGTTCAATATTTAAACTGGTCAACTATTCACAAATGAATTTTTAAAAAATTGCTAAAGCATTGAGAGATAAATTAGCAAAGGAATTCATTACTCTCTGTTCTCTTTGCCTGTACATATATGTTATTTGCATGTATCACACTGAGGGTACTGATCCACGTGTTTTTCTCCTCCAGTTGATTTAAAGTTCCAAATGGGTAAGTACTGCATCCTATTATGCTTGCATTTCTAACACCTAGTACGGCACTGATACAAGCTAGATGACTATTTGTGTTTACTGAATTAAATTCCATTCAAAAGATACATGAGCAGGCAAGTAGCAAGGAGGAAATACAACTAGTTAAGGAACGTATACAATTTACAGCAATTAAGGAACTGTTACAAACTGCCACAGTGTTTAAAACACACTTGCTTTCATCTGAAATGAGTGTGTGCATGTTTTAGAAAGCAAGTTGGCTATAGGTGTCAAGATCCCAAAAAAAGGCTGCAAACTCTTGCCCAGTATTTCCACTTTTGGGGGCCTATTTTGTAATACAAATATTTACCATTTGTGCAGTACCCACCTACATTCCAGACACACTGTGCTAAGAGATTTGAAATGTCATTGCATCCTTTAGCCCTCAAAGAACAACCACCAGCACCTTATAGGGTAGAGATTAGTCCTATTTTAAGAAGGAGGACAGATATTAACTAATGTATGAAAGATCACAAAGGCCACATGGCTAGAAAGTGACAGAGTCATGATTCAAACCCAAATCTGTTGCATTCTGCACTATTTTTTATTTACAGCATTTCTGATACCAAATGGGCAGACTTTTTTCTCACACCAACCAATTCTCTCTGGAAGAGCAAATGCATATCCTACATTTCAGATCAGTTCTGACACTCACTACCCAGAGGTAGTGCAGACTTCCCCACCCCCAGCTTAAGGGCTCCATTCCCCGAGATTGCCCTCACTTCTGATGCCAGGTGCAAGTAGCTCATCCCCAGGCTACCCACACTTCAGTCCAACTTGAATACAAAGTCAAGGGGAACCTATGAATCTCCCCTTTCAGTTTTCATAATTTGCTAGAACTGCTCACAAAACTCAGGAAATCACTTTACTTAGTATTATCAGTTTCAAATAAAGGATGTAACTCAGAAATAGCCAAATGTGAGGAGAGATGCATAGGGCAAGGTATGGGGAAAGGGACACAGAGCCCCTACTCCCTCCCTGGACGCATCACCCTCTCTTCACTCAAGGATATTTACCCACCCAGGAGCTCTCCTCTGAAGCCCATCATTTAGGGGGCTTTCTGGTGGTTCTATTACATAGGCTTGATTGATGACATCATTGGCCATTGGTAACTGAACTCAACTTCCAGCTCCTCTTCTCTCTCCAAAAGTCAGGGGGTAAGCTCATGGGGGCCGTGGGTATATTAGTTTGCTAGGGCTGTAACGAAATATCACAGGCTGGGCAGCTCAAACAACAGAAATGTATCTTGTCATGGTTCTGGAGGTTAGAAGTTCAAGATCACAGTATCCACAGGGTTGATTTCTTCTGAGGCTTCCCCAATTGTGACCAACCCTGTCACTGTGACTTGGTCTTTTTGGTGTGCAGCCCCCCATCCTGAAGGTATCTAGGGCCTCCAACCACCTCATTAGAACAAAAGAGGCTTCCTTCACACTTGTCATTCAGGACATCTCAAGGGTTTTAGGAGCTCCTGTGTCAAGAACCAGGGACAAAGACCAAATATCTTTCTATGATGTCACAGATTGTCAAGCCCAAGCTTCTTTCTTCTATAACATATACTGAAGTTACAATCTTAAATAGCATAGGGTTTTTTTTGCACCAAGTTATTCTTTTTAATTTTACTTAAAAACCCTTATAGAATTGAAAATTATATAACTACTCCACAAGAAGAAGATAGTTTATTGTGGAACTTTAGTTTTATGGAATATTATGGATCAAAAATTACATTTAAAAAGACCGTGAAACACTATAGAAAATACTTAAGATAAAATGTTAAGCAGAAAGCAAAATTACAGTCACACAGTGATTTCAATCAGAAAGCAAGTTGATGCTACGGAACAAATACTGTAAGGAAGATTCTAGAATTATGGGAGTTAGGACAATAGACAATATTTTCCTTTATTCTAATTTCTTATTTTTACTAATGGATTGCTTTACTAGTGAATTTCTTGAATTCTGACTCTTGGTTATAAAATAAAAGGCAGGCTTTAATTTCACTGTAAGGCAGAAATGATACATATTATAGGATCACAAGTGTATATATATAAAAAATAGAGACACACAGCTTTATAAGGAAATACATCAACATTTTACCCAGTTACTGGAGAGGTTTGCTTTTAAAAACTCAGCAACCGGCCGGACAGTGGCTCACGCCTGTAATGCCAGCATTTTAGGAGGCCGAAGCAGGTGGATCACCTGAGGTCAGGAGTTTGATACCAGCCTGGCCAACATGGTGAATCCCCATCTCTACTAAAAAAAATACAAAAATTAGCTGGGCATAGTGGCAGGTGCCTATAATCCCAGCTACTCGGGAGGCTGAGGCAGGAGAATCACTTGAACCAAGGGGGCAAAGGTTGCAGTGAGCCGAGATTGCACCACTTAACTCCAGCCTAGGCAAAAGAGCAAAACTCCATCTCAAAAACACTCAGCAACCTGTCTGGGTTCATGTGTCATGACTATCAGGTGATTATAGGGCTGATGACACTAAGCCACAGGGAGAGGAACACAATCTCCGCAGGCAGAAAGAGCATCTCATTCTCTGCTGGCTTTCCAGAGCCTGGCCACATCCAGCATCCAGCTGACCTCAGAAGGGGCTCTTGAGTGGGTTCTGGGCTCCCAGTCTTCCAGCCCATATCAAGGTGAGGTGCAGCCTTACCTCCTGTCATGCAGAAACCACCTTCTTTTTCTGAAGGCACAGTCAATAAAATGATCCTCCCATTCAAGTCTCCCTTTCTGACCACACTTTAGTCTGAGAGGTAGCTCTCATTTCAGGGGAGTGATAGCCTTCAAGGGATGCTGTGGCTCCTACTAGTGGGAGGCATATGTTTCATTCATGTGAAATGCATTTCACGACAGTCTTGGCAAAGAGAAGGGTCTGCTCTGTTATGTACCCCCTCCCCGTAAGTAGCAATAGTTGATTGTATTTGCTTGATATTTTACATCAGAAGAACAATTAGTTTCTTGCTTTTGAGAGGTTACCAAATAAGGTTTTAAAAATTTTACCAAGAAACTAAATTAAATTAAAATGCACAACAGGTTGCAGGTAGACCATGCCAATGCATGAAATTCTAACTCTTGCTCTTTTCCTAAAGCAAACAGTGGGAAAGAGTTGCATCAGGGACCCAGAGCTGGTTCTGTAACCACTTAATTGTAATCGCATCTTCTTCTGCCCTTCATTAAGGACAATCCTAACTGTTGTAACAAATAAACCCCAGAATTTCAGTGGTCCAAGCTAACAGGCATTTACATCTTGCTTAGGAGTCACATGAAGGTCACCCCAGTAGTGTTCATGATTGGTGGGTGCCCTTCCTCTACACAACAATTCAGGAACCTTGGTTCTTGCCTTTTGGAGACCTCTCATGTCCTCTATCCCAGTGTTTTTCAAAGTGGAGGTCAATTAGAATCACCTAGAGTGATTGTTCAAAGACAGATTGCGGGGCCCCACCCCAGAGAATCTGATTCAGTAGGTCAGGAATGGGCCCCAGGTTTTGCGCATCTCACAAATCATCGAGTGACGTTGATGCTGCCAGTCAGGGGACCACACTTGGAGAAGCAAAGTCCTAGAACCAGATAGCAGAGAATGCAGAGAAACACACTTCCTGCTTCACTACCAAGGCTTGGAAGGTGCATCACTTCAACTCGCCATCCCTCAGCAGGGGCGAGTCACACGGACAATCCCCAACAAGGAGAGGGATGGAA
This sequence comes from Homo sapiens, assembly GCF_000001405.40. Lineage (NCBI taxonomy): Eukaryota > Metazoa > Chordata > Mammalia > Primates > Hominidae > Homo > Homo sapiens. The sequence goes on from NW_025791814.1 coordinate 878,577, forward strand.
ACCACAGCCTGTGTCTGGGCAGCTGCTTCCCAGCTCCAACCCTGCAGGAAGAAGGGGGAGCATGAGTTCTGGTGGGGAGTGCACCATTTCTGCTAGCGTCCAGTGATGCTTTTACAGAGCTGGCTGTCCTTCCCATGGATCATCATGTTCCTTTTCTCCAGATTTTAATGTGGTATTATTTGTACTGAGACTAAAGGAGAGGATTATAGTCTTATCTTGTCACCATTCTTAATTTCAGCCATAGGCAAAGAGGAAAGAACAAGGACAACCAAACCTAGACAGGCGACAAGAGGACAATGGCAGGAGCACTGTCTGCAGCAATGCTGGGGGGAGGTGGGGGCCATGCCCTTGAGGAGTCGGACAGAGAAATCCACCTGCTCAGGGAAGGGGCAGCCCCAGAGAGGCTGGTCCAGCAAAAGGATGTATTCTTTGACAACAACTTTCTTGTTGCTGGGGCTGCCATAACAAAGCACTACAGATGAGTGGCTTAAACAACTGAAATTTAGTTCTCACAGTCCTAGATGCTAGAAGTCCAGGACCAAGTTGTCTGCAGGATTGGCTCTTCCTGGGGCCTCTCTCTTTCCTGTGTCTTCACAGGGCTATCCCTCTGTGTGAGTCTTTGTCCTAATCTCCTCTTCTTATAAGGATGCCAGTCAGACTGCATTAGAGCCAAACTTAATGACATTATTTTAACTTCATCACCTCGTTAAAGACTCTATCTCCAAATCCAGTCACATCCCGAGGTACTGGGGGTTAGGAATTCAACATATAATTTTTTTAAAAGTACAGTTTGGCCCATAACCCTGGGGATAAACTGTAGTTTTAACTTCCCGAAATCAGTTAAAACTTAGAGAATTAGTTTTTTTTTTTTTTTCCCCCAGAAAAGAAATTATCTCCTGATTCTGGCAGGCAGTTCAGTGTCAGTGGCTTCTTTCACTTTACAGTTTCCAGAAATGATTTTCAATATTCAGTCCATCATCACAAGTGGAAATGTCCATTGGGAAAGGCCACCTCTAGATGATGCAGGTGTAATTTTTTTTTTTTTTTTTTTTTTTTTTTTTTTTGCCAACATTTAAACCAAGAGCTACAGCAAACCCTTGCTAACTCCTCACCTGGGAACATGTGACAACACCTGTATGTGGGCAGAGGAAATGCCTGGAGCTGACAACCCTTTAAAGCAACTGCTAGAAAGCGCCTAAGACAGTGCTCTGTAAATTTTGACACAAATAAAATGTACAACTCCTTTGAGGATAAAAAACTCTAAATTTAATACAGAAGTCTTCTTCGAGATTTGAAATGTGAAGTTTCAAATACAGTTAGCTTTGAGCCGTGCCAATCCAAGCATGGCAGGTTTTACTGCAGCCACTTTGCAAAGCTAAGGGGAGATGAGGAGATAGTTTGGCCAGAATATTAAAGCCATATATTCAGTCCCTGCCAGACAAACTAACGGCAGCCCAGGTAAAGAGGGCAGAGAATTGTCCACAGCATTTGCTGACCCCATGTGCCTCCTCCCCCAATATGTTTCCCACACATTAGAGCCATTGGGAATAAAAAGCTCTTCTTTAAAATTCAAAACTTCCATGGAGCATCAAGCCTTATTTACATTTGAGTGCAAATTACTTTAATCATATAATTTTCAGCATTTGTTGAGTGCTGCTGTGTATTTCAAGAATGTACAATTTCATTTTGGATAAAGTGAATGGAAGGGAAGTTTAGGATCCATCTGGAAGGAGTCAAGGTCTTTGACCCAAGTAAGGCAGGCTAACAACCATAGGCTTTGAGGTGGTAGACACACTGGGGCTGAGAGGAGGACTCAGAAGGACAGGGAGGATGGCAAGTGTGAAGTGACTACTTTGAAATGCCTGGAGGCACTGAGATAAGTGGCACAGTTCTGAAATATATCTGCTGTGATTTACAAAGGTTTTAGTGGAAGTAACAGAAGTTGATAATGATGCTAAGCTCAGAAGATCTCAGATTGGTATTATCCTCCAACTCTAGGTTAGGCAGCTTATAGTCTCTCAAACTGATTGACAATATCTTAGCTAGGTAACTACTGTGTGGCATGCAGAAGGACAAAGGCTGTTACACTTACTCAGAATTTAGTGGGGGCATAGGAATAAGATGAGAACACCAAGGCCCTCTTATGGAAGATTAACCTGAAGTCAGTGCAGAAAAAGTGACTGGAAATGGAGAAAGAGGATGAACACAAAATAGTGAGAGTGGTCTCTGGTTTTCTAAAGCATGAGACTCTGACATGCTGAAAAGATCAAGTCTAGCTTGGGCAATGATTTACTTCCTTGGTTTTCTAGTTTTTCAGCTAAAAAACTGACACTTAAAAATGTCTACAGTGAAATGCTGTTGGACAGAAGGGATACAATTATATATTTAAAATGGACAAATGGGTGCTTAATATCTTTCATATTCACATGTTAATAAAACATGTGAATGCACATGCATGCACTCTTCCAGAATCACTCTACCAACTGTTTTCCACCTATGCACACTAAAGGAACTTATCTTCTCTGCTGTCTTCCTGAATAGCAGTTCTCAAACCATGGTTCCCCATACCAACAACATCAGCCTTACCTGAGTGATTACTAGAAATGCAATATCTCAGCCCCCAAACTCAGAGTGACAGAGTAAGAAAAGTCACCTGTGTGTTTAACAAGTCCACTGGGTAAATTTAATGCATGAAGTCTGAGAACCACTCTTCCAGACTAGCAGGTTCTAGCTACCTGGCTGCACGGTAGATTCACCTGGATACTTCTTAGAAAAGCAGTAATACTGCAGCCCCATCCAGATGAAATAAATCAGAATGTCTGTCAATAGGATCTGGGCTGAGATTTTTATTTTTTAAAATTTCCACCAGGTGATTCGAATGAGCAGCTCAGTATACTGACCTGAGTAACTCCAGATGAGGTGTTACTTAGTGTTCTTGTATTGACTATTCCTATATGTTCATTCCTTCATTTCCTTAAATGAGAATTTCTACTGTATGCCAAGAACTGCAGTAGGTGCTGAGAATACAAGATAGATAGAGATCACACATTTCTAGAGTTTTTAGTCTGGTGGGCATCAGAAAAAGCCCACCACGTACAGCCACACAAGTTGTGCACTGGCCAACTTCAATGGGCACCCTTCGTATCTTTATGTACAACCTAGACAGTCACATGCGACATCTGAGGTTGAAGTCCAAGGTAACCTTGGCATTTTAAGATGGAGAATATATAATTCCAAGCAGCTTTAGCCTTTGTCACTGGTACTGCCAAATCCTGAACAGGAGGTCCCAGCAGAACTAAGGACAGTGAATTGATTTCTGATTACTTCACTATGCAGCTCATTTCCCAATTTCTTTTTCTGGTAGCTCATTATTGGTGTAGCTCATAGACATGCAACTAATTTTTGTATGTTGATTTTTGTATCCTGCAACTTTAATGAATTTGTTTAAAGATGGAGAAAGGGGTCAGGAGCCAAGGAATATGAGGAGCACCACTGTAGGGCTGGAGAAGCCAAGGGAATGGGTTCTCTTCTACAGACTCTGAAAGGACATGGTCCTACTGACACACTGATTTTCATCCAGTGAAAGTGATTTTGTACTTCTGTCCTTCAGAGTTGCAAGAGAATAAATGTATGTTGTTTTAAGCCACTACGTTTGTGATAATTTGTGACAGCAGCAATATAAAACTGATACATATACACAAATAAAGAAAATCCAGAAAACAGAGTAGAGGTTTGAGAAAGCAGTTAAGGGCAGCTGAAATTTAATGATCTCCCTTTAGTGGGCCAGGGTCTGTGCTGGTTACTTTGAATGGATTACGTCCTATCCTTACAACAGTTGTTTGAGATTGTCATCATCATCACCAGATTCATTGTTACTGTTATTGCCATCTTCACTGTCATGATCATCATTGCCATTATTGTCAATATCATCATCATCCTTTTAATTAACATTTTCATCATTATTTTTATTTTAAAGATGAGGAAATACAATTATCAAAAAAGTTAAGCAGTATCCCCTAAATTACCCACCTGGCAAGCGGTAGTCAGAGTTTGAATGCCTCTGTCTCAAAAGTACAATTTCCAAAAGGTACTTTTCACTAAACAAATTTATACTTACACTTACTTTACTGAAGAAGACTTCTGCATTGAGATATAACATTCCACTCTAATTGGAGCTCAGAAGACTTTCATTTCATGATCTTTATGGCCTGAATACAGAGTGGCTGAATCAACCACTTTGAAGAGCTACAGAACAGATTTTATTGACGGCAACTAGCAAAAAGCAGTACATCCCACAAATGAATGCAGCAGTGCTCCCACAGACATGGTTCATATAGAAATTCACATGGTAAAATACCACTAATAGACTCCCCATTCAATACCATCTTGCCCAAAATAAATTGTTTCTGCATCATCAACTCCTGGCAACAACTTTGCTATATCTGAGTTGTCATTTCTCACAATAATGGCCTTTTATTCCACTTGGGGCCTGTCACCTGGAACAAATAAGGTCTTTACAAGGTCCCAGAAAATGAGAAAATGTTCTCCATAAATTATATTTTTCTGAGCTTATTCCCCACTCTGACATAATACAAGAGGTTAACCTGCTAGAGATGTCGAATTTCACACCCCAAAACATGCAGTGAGGATCTGCTTATACTAGAAGAAAAAAACAATCAAATGTATATTTTAAAAAATTAAAATTTGAGATAAAGAAGTACATTTAAAAAAAAATTTTGTGATACAAGAGAGTTATTCTGATACCATGTTTCTGTCTGGTCAACAGTTCTCAGGATCTTTCACAAGTCCTTGATCTGAGGAATTCTCCCTATCATTTCTCAAAATTTTTCTTTGTTCTCATGATGTAAATAGGTCAAAATTTCTTATAATCAAATCTGCTGACCAATAGATCTAAATACAATTCTATAAAAAGTAACAGTAATTATGAAGGAGAAACATGAGCAAGATTGCAGAATAGAAGACACCCTGACATTATTTCCTCCACAAACATACAACTGGAAACTATTAAAAGACAAGAATACCACCATGAATTCACCAGAACTTGGGGAGAAGTGGAGAAACCCACTAGGCCATAATAACTAAGAAAAATGGTCATTTCAGACTGTGCCACTCTCTTCTCCAGGCTTGTATAATGCCACTCACAGAGAATTGACACAGACTCATGGTTTCTAAGGTGGGAAGATGGAATTGGAGGTGGATGTTTGATCCCCCTACCAGTATGGGAATCTTCATGGGAAGCCCACTCAGGTCTCACTGCACAGGAACCCCTGGGAGAGCTAGGAGGGCTGAACTACCTGGGGTGAACTGGGGACAAAAAGTGGGGGTGCTGATCACTTGGTGCTGGAATCTTGGAGCTCCAATCAGCAGGGATGCAGATGTCATACTGAGGAGACCGGCCAGCACTATAGTGCTGCAGGAAGCATGATCGGCAGGAAGGTCTGAATCTCTGGCCAGACTTCCCACAAAGCTCAGGTGCTCATGTGGAGTCTTCCCCTGACCTGGAAACAACTGAGTTTGGAAATTAAGTTCCTTTGGAAATTAAGTTCCAGTACGTATTTAAGTCTTTCCCAGACCAGGAAACAATAGTAGAGTAGCAATTTAGTTCTAGTCCAGTGTTTAAGTTCCAGTGCTCACTATAAGTGTTCCCTAGACTGGGAAACAATGGCAGGGCAGTGATTAAGTCCCAATATCAAGTAGTAGAGGTCCAACACTAATAACACCAGCAGAAGCTGGAAGAGTGGCTTTCTCTTCAAATATGCAGGCATCATCATAAAACACGCAAAAATTGTTTAAAAAAAACAAAACAACAACAAAAACAATCTCAGGGAAATATGATGCCACCAAAAGAAACAAACAAAACTCCAATAATGGACCCAGAAGAATTAAATATCTATCAAATGTCTGAGAAAGAATTCAGAATAATCCTCTTTAATTTCAGGGAGTCACAAGAAAATGTGGATGGAAAATGCAGTGAAATTTTGAAAGAATTTGAGAAATTTAGCAAGTAAATAGAAACACTTTTTAAAAATCCAAATAGAAATCCTAAGAATAAAGAATACAATAACTGAACTTATTGAAATTTATGAAAAGCTTATTCGAAATCTTCAATAGCAGACTTAAAGAACCCACAACCTCAAAGACAGAACATATAAAATTACCCAATCAGAGGAGAAAAATCTTTAAAAAAAGATTGAAGAAGGCCTATGAGAATTATGAGATACTATCAGGCAAACTAACCTCTATATAATAGTAGTTCCCCAGGAGATAAAAGAGAAAAAGTTCTAGAAAGCATGTTTAAGGAAATAATCGCTAAGATATTCCTAAATCTGGAGAAAAAGGACAGTATCCAAGTATAAAAAGCTCAGAGATCACCAATCAAATTCAACCCAAAGAGAAATTAACCAAGGCACAGCATCAAATTATCAAAAAGCAAAGATAAAGAAGAAATACTCAAAGCAGCAAGAGAAAGAAAACATATCACATTCACCTGAGCCCCAGTGCAAGTTTCAGCAGATTTCTCAACAGATACACTGCAGGCCAGAAGAGATTGGGATGATATATTCAAAGTGCTGAAGGGAAAGAACCTTGTAGCCAAGAATAGTTCACATGGAAAATGTATCCTTCAAACACAATGGAGAGATAAAGACTTTCCCAGACAAGGAAAAGCTGAGGAAATTCATCAACATCAGATCTGTCTTACAAGAAATGCTGACAAGAGTTCTTCATCTGAAAGAAAAGGGTGCTAATTTGTAACAAGAAAAGATCTAACGGTATAAAATTCACTGGTAAAAGTAAGAATACAGACAAATTTAGAATACTATAATATTGTAATTGTGGAACGTAAACCACTTGGATCTTAAGTATGAAGACTAAAGAAACAATTATTAAAGATAGTAATTACAACAATTAGTTAAGAGTTAATATAAAAAGATGTAAATTGAAACATCAAAAATAAAAATGAACGTGTGTGGGATGGTGTTAAATGTAGTTTGTTTTTCTTGCTTTAATTTGCAGTCAAAGTTAAGTTGTTAATCAGTTTAAGATAACTTGTTTTAACTATAACATGATTTTAAGCATCATGGTATTTACAAAGCAAAAACTTATAATAGATACACTAAAAATAATGAGCATGAAATCAAAACATACTACTAGAAAAAAAAAATCTCTCAAGGAAAACAATAAGAGATGAAACAAGGTAGAAAGGATCTATAAAACAACCAGAAAACAAGTAACAAAATGGTAGTAGTAAAGCCCCACCTAACAATAATAACCTTAAATGCAAATGAATTAAAATCTCCAATTAAGAGACATAGAGTGACTGAATGGATTTTTAAAAATGCCCAATTATATGCTGTCTACAAGAGATCTTTCACCTATAAAAACATGCACAGACTAAAGAGATGGAAAAAAGATATTCCAAACAAATTGAAGCAAAAAAAAAAAGCAGGAATAACAATATTTATATCAGATAAAATAGACTTTAGGTCAAGAATGGTAAAAAATAAACAAAAAGACCATGATATAATGACAAAGGGATCAATACAGAAAGAGAACATTACAATTGTAAATATGTATGCACCCAAAACTGGGACTCTCAATATTTGAGACCCTCAAATATGTAAGGAAAACATTAATAGATCTGAAAGGTCTGTAGATTGACTATAATACAATAAGAGTAGGGAACTTTAATACCCCTACTTTCAGCAATGGAAAGGTTATCCAGACAGAAAACCAACAAAGAGACGTTGGATTTAAACAGCCTTCTAGATCAAATGAATCCAACAGACATTTACAGAACTTTCCACCCAATAGATTCAGAATACACATTTTTCTCAACAAGACATGATATTTTCTCCAGGATAGATTATGAAAGTCACAAAACAAGTCTTAGAAATTTTTTAAAAATCAAAATCATATGTGTCTTTTCTGACCACCATGGAATAAAACTAAAAATCAATAACAGAAGAAATGTTCAAAACTGTAAAACTTCATGGAAATTAAGCAACACGCTCCTGAGCAACAGAGGAGTTAGTGAAGAAATCAAAAATAAAATTTAAAAATTTCTCGATCAAATGAAAATATGCACACAACATACCAAAACCTATGGGATATAGTAAAAGCAGTTCTAAGAGGGAATTTTACTGTGATAAATGCCTACATCCAAAATGTAGAGAGATCTCAAATAAAAAATCCAATGTCACAACTCAAGAAATTAGAAAAGAAGGACAAACTGAACCCCAAATTAGAAGGGGAAAAATAACAAAAATCAGAGCAGAAATAAACAAAATAGAGGTTTTAAAAACAATACAAAAGATCAAGAAAACAAGGAGGTATTTTTGTTTAAATAAAAAAAAAACAACAAACCTTAAGCTAGACTAAGGAAAAAGAGAAAGGACTCAAATAAATAAAATCAGGGATGAAAAAGGAAACATTAAAACTGATACTACAAAAATTTAAAGGACCATAAGAGCCTATTGTAAATTTCTATATGCCAAGAAATTGGAAAATCTAGAAGAAATGAGTAAATTTTGGACAGACACAACCTAGCAAGATTAAATCATGAAGAAATAGAAAATCTTAATAGACCAATAATGAATAACCATATTGAGGCAGTACTAAAGAATCTCCCATTCAAAAAACTCCCAAGACTTAATGGTATCACTGATAAATTCTACCAAACATTTAAAGAAGATTTACAACTAATCTTTCTCACAAGAATTCTACCAATTCTTCCAAAAAATTGACAAGGAGGGAACACTTCCAAACTCATTCTATGAGGCCAGCATTACCCTGATCCAAAAATCAGAAAAGAATACAACAACAAAAAAGGAAGCTATAGGCCAATATTCCTGATGAATACAGATGCAAAAAATCCTCAAGAAAATAGTACCAAACTGAATTCAATAATATATTAAAAAGATAATTCACCATGATCAAGTGGGATTCATCACAGAGATGCAAGAATGATTCAACATACACAAATCAATAAACATAATATTACCACATTAACAGAATCAAGGCCAAATCCATATGATAATTTCAATAGATGCTGAAAAAAATTTGATAAAATTCAATTCCTTCATAAAAATCCTCCAGAAATTGGTTATAAAAACAACACACCTTAATTTAATAAAGGCCATATATGACAAATCCACAGAGAACATCATACTGAGCAGGAAACAGTTGAAAACTTCATTTCTAAGATGTAGAACAAGACAAAAATGCCCACATTCACCACTTTTGTTCAACATAGCACTGAAGATTCTGTCCAGAGTAATTAGGCAAGGGAAAGAAAGAAAAGGCATCCAAATTAAGAAAAGAGGGAGTCAAATTTTCCCTGTTTGCAGACAATATCATCATAATTAGATAGATGGTTAGAGAAAAGCCTAAAGACTCCATCAAAAAAAAAATATTAGAACTAATAAATGAATTTGGTAAAGGTGTAGGATATAAAATTAACATATAAAAATCAGTAGTGTTTGCTATATGCCAATAGCAAACTATTTGAAATTGAAATTGAAAAAGTAATTCCATGTACAATAGTTACAAGGTATAAATAAAATGCCTATAAATAAACTTAACCAAGGAGGTGAAAAATCCCTACAATGAAAACTATAAAACGCCAATGAAAGAAATCGAAGAGGACACAAAAAATTAGAAAGATATTCCATGTTCATGGACTGAAATAATGTTTAAAAATATACATATTATCCAAAGTGATCTACAGATTTAATGCAATCTCTATAATAAAAATCTCAATGACATTCTTCACTGCAATAGAAATAACAATCCTAAAATTCATATGGAAATGCAAAAGATCCTGGAGAGCTAAAGGAATCTTCAGCAAAAAGAACAAAGCTTCAGGCATCACTCTACCTGATGAAAATATACTGCATAGCTATAGTAACCAAAACAGGATGACACTGGCGTAAAAACAGATACATTGATGAATGTGACAAAATACAGAACCTAGAAATAAATATATGTATGTATATCCAAATGATTTTTAACAAAGGCACCAGAAGTACTCATTGGGGAAAGGACAGTATCCTCAATAAACGGTCCTCGGAAACTGGATATCCACATGCAGAAGAATGTAACTAGATCACTATCTCCATATTCAAAAATCAACTCAAATAAGATCAGAGGCTTAAGTGTTAGGACCATAACTATGAAACTACTAGAAGAAAACATAGAGGAAATGCTTCATGGAATGGAGCAAGGATTCTTTAAAGACAACCTCAAAAGCACAGACAACAAGAGCAAAAATAGACAAATGGAATTATATCAAATTAAAAATCTTTTGCACAGCAAAGGAAATAACAGATTGAAGAGACAACTTACAGAATGGGGAAAAAAAACTATTTGTGCACTATGCATCTGACAAGGGATTAATATCCATAATATATAAGGAACTCAAACAACTCAATATCAAAAAAGCAAATAATTAAATTTAAAAATGGACAAAAGATCTGAATAGATATTTTTCAAAGGAAGACATACAAATGGCCAACAGCTATATGAAAAAATGCTCAACATCACTAATCATCAGGGAAATGCAAATCAAAACCACAATGAGATATCCCTTCACCTTAGAATGGTTATCATCAAAAACACACAAAAAATTTAACAAATGCTGGTGAGGATGTGGAGAAAAGAGAGCTCTTCCACGCTGTTGGTGAGAATGTAAATAAGTATAGCCATTATGGAAAGAGGCATGAAAGATCCTCAAAAATTTAAAAATAGAAATAGCATATGAGCCAGCAGTCCCATTACTGGATATAGATCTAAAGGAAATGAAATCAGTGTGTTGAAGGGATGTCTGTACTCCATGTTTACTCCAGCGCTGTTCACAGAAGCTGAGAGATGGAACTGACTTAAATGTGCACCTACAGAGGAATGTATAAAGGGCGGCCTGTAACTGTCTGAAACCTTGTTATTTCTCCCACGTAGCCTCTCCCCTCTAATCCTTCATTGGCTCCACTTTCTTCTTCTTTTTTTTTTTCCTTTTTTGAGACATGTTACCCAGGCTGGAGTGCAGTGGTGTGATCTCAGCTCACTGGATCCTCTACCTCCTGGGTTCAAGTGATTCTCCTGCCTCAGCCTCCTGAGTAGCTGCGATTACAGGTGCCCGCCACCACACCCAGCTAATTTTTATATATTTAGCAGAGATGGAGTTTCACCATGTTGGCCAGGCTGGTCTCAAACTCCCAACCTGAGGTGATCCACCCATCTCAGCCTCCCAATGTGCTGGGATTACAGGCATGAGCCACCATGCCTGACCTCATTGGCTCCACTTTCTCCCTCAGCCTCCTAGTCTCTCATTTTAAGCTGGCTTTTGTCCCCTCCACTCCACTGAACATGCTCTTGCAGTCACCAGTGGCCTGTGTTTTGCTGTAGCAGTGATAATTGACACTATTGATCATGCATGGTTTCCCTCTGATAGGAATTTTCTTGCTGCTTTTTCTAAGTCTCTGTTGCTGGTTCCTACTTCCTGATTTCTACGTTTTGAAGGATCCCAGAACACAGTCTCTGGACTTTCTTTCTTTCCCAGTCTCTTTGTACTCACTCCCTTTCTCCCTTTGATCTCACCCGTTCTGAAGGTTTTTAGTATCATCTCCAGGCTGGCAGCAACAAAATTTCCATGTCTGATCCAGACCTCTTATCTAAACTCCAAACTTCTACACCCAACTGCCTGCTCACATCTGCACCAGGATGTTGAATTTGCATCAGAAACCGAACATTCTTTTTACTGAGCCCCTGATCTTCCTTCCCTGCCCTGTTTCCCTCACTCGATGAGCAGTCCCTCTGCCATTCTAACTGCTCAGGCTACAGTCCTTGATTTCTCACTTTTTCTGTCACCTCAAATCCAACCTATCAGAAAATCCTACACTCAGCCTTTGTGATGCACCCAGCACGCTGCTCCTTTCCCCATGTCCACACCATCTCTCGTTAGAATGACTAAAATGACTCCCACCTGGAGCCCTCGCTCCAGTCCCCATGCCCCTTCAGCTCTATGCTCAACACAATAGCCAGATAAATCTTGTTAAAGCATAAGTCATATAATGCCACCCTGTTCAAAAACCTCCAACATCCTCTCTGTCCCTATCTCCCCTTCCTGTCCCTCCCTTGCTAACCCTGCTCTTGTCACACAGGCTGCTGCAGGCCTTGGTGTTTGCTGTTTGCTCTGCCTGAAAAGCCCTCTTCCACCCCCGCTGACATCCCCAGGACTCTATCACTTCGTTTAGGTTTCACTCAAGTGCCCCTTCTCAGCGAGACCGACTCTAGCCTATCTGAAACTCCACGTCTCCCTTAAAATTACTCTTCTTCACTGCTTCAGTTTCTTTGCACTAATTACAATCTACTAGTCTACATATTCATTTATCTGATGCATTGCTCTCCCACACCCACTAGAATAAAGCTACCTTAAGATGAAGGCTTCCGCCTGTTTTGTTCACACTGTATCCCCAGCAGCCAGAAACCATGTGTGGCACTCAGTATTTGCCTCCAAAATTTATTTGTTGAATAAATGAACAAACTACACACATCACCATGGATAAATCTCAAAGCAATAATGTGGAGAACAAAGCTAGTCCCAGAAGAACTCTTCCTCTGTGATTCTAATTACATAAAGTTCAAGAGCATGCACATCTTAGCAAAATATTACTTAAGGCTACAAACATGTGGTACAACTACAAAGAACATTGAGGATTAGTTAACAAGGAGTTCAGGAGAGGGGTTCCTACTGTAGGGTGGGGTGGGGACGTGATTGGAGAGGAGCACACAGGGGCCTTTTCAAGGACACTTTTCTATTTCTTAAGTGGGGTTCTATTCATGTTTATATTTTGTGTAAAAAAAATTAAGTTACATTTTTAAAAGACAAAAAAAGACAAAGTTACATTTAAAAAATCATTGAAGCAAGCAGAGTGCATCACCTCCTTGTAATCCAATATTCATAATATAAATGACCCCATCCCCATCTCCTCGGCCACTGATCTGATGCCTCTGTTCTGCTTATCTGCTGCATTACCAGCTCACTGTGCAGCAAATTCACACTATTCATTGTTAGCTCTATAGCCCAACTGGATGGCAAACATCCCAATAGACAAAACTCCAAGAAGAGTCAAAACAAGAATAAAGTGCAGGTCATCTTTTCTTTTGCACTCCTGACAGCACTTTGTACATGGTAATAATAATCTACCAATTAACTACATAAGCCACATGGTTTTATTATAGTGTGAAGCTTTGTATCCAGAAAGGAGAGAAGGCTCCCTAAGACTCTGTCAAGAATGGGTGCTTCCTTTCTGCTGTAACCTCTTCTTTTCTCCAAAGCCAGCTCACCTCTTCCTCCTGACTGAGCACAGCTGGGGCCCTCCCCTAGGTCGGCTTAATGAGGTGGGGCCCTCCCTCTGGCTTGGAATCCACACACATTCCTGCAGCCAAATGCTGCAGCAAGAGGCAGGGACCACGTTTAATGCTTTTCCTTGGGAAACTGACCTGTGTCTCCACTAATATCTGACAATTTGGCAAGAGGACCAACAAGATTTGAGGCAATATGTGATAAAATATGCAGTTATTTAAAAAAATACTTTTATAGATTGGGTGCAGGGACTTGTGTTTGTAATCCTAGATACTGAGAAGGCTGAGGCGAGAGGAGCACCTGAGCCCAGGAGTTTGAGGTCACAGGGAGCCATGATTACATCACTGTACTCCAGCCTGGGCATCGGAGAAAGACCCTGTCCAACAGAACAACAACAACACAAATAGTGTTCCAAAACTGGATAAGAATGCAGATGTTCAAAGGAAGCCCTGAAAATAAGCTCAATTTTAAAAAGCGGGGAGTAAAGAATTACAAAAGGAAGGAAAGGAGGAGAGAAGGGGAGAAGAGGGAAGCAAGGAGGAAAGGCAAGTGTTTTGTTCACTAGTATATCCCCAGAAACGTTTAAATAATAGACACTAAGCATTTGTTGAATGAATGAAGTAATAGATGAAATAGATGTGAAGCAATGGGAGAAAATATGGACTTACATGGCTAACACCCTGTCACGTGGCCTGCACCTGAATCTACACAACAGGCCCCTCAGCCTCCACCATGTAACAGAGTTCAGGGAGCCCAGCCTTTTTCTTCTAACACCTCAATGCCAGACTTGCTCCATGTTGGACACCAGCTTATCTGTGCTTCTGGTACCCCAGAGGTACTTGATGAACATACTATTTTATTTATTTAACACATTTGGAGAGAGTATCTGCAAGGATTCCTCCAATGTAGTATATCAGGGGGTATTCCTTGGTCTGTTAGTTCCCAGAAAATGACCTCATTCTATGGAAAATCTGGTTGTCCATGGTTAGTCCAATGTGGTGACACAAAATGGAAATCCTTAAAACTAAAGAAAGAATTACAGTCATTTAATAAAGACAATGAAACTGAAACATCATGAATCATAGTTTAGGAAATCAATTTGTAATGAAGAAACATTTAGTATGGGAGAAGGGAGTGAGTAAATTACCTACGGAAAGATGAAGCAACACATTTATACAAAGTGTCAATAGATAAAATGGACACACCTTTAGATGTATATTATACTGATTTTAAACCACACACATTGGTAACAAATAGACTAATCCATTTCCAAACTAATTGGATTGCTGGGTGCACATTACTATCAGAGTAGCCAGAGGTAGGCTTCAAACTAATGGTAGTAATTGCTTTTAAACAACCTTTAGATGAGTCCAGGCATCTTAAATGTCCTATTTATCTCCCTTTCCTATTGTAGAAATTATGCTACAGATCAGCCTAATGGGGGACCCACACCTAATAGACATACAAAGGACAATTAGAAGAGTCGAGAAGTAAAAAGCAAAAAATGAAGTTTTATAGAACGAATGAAGACAAAAATCTGAACCGCACCTGAAGTGGAGCTGGGCCTTGTCACGAACAAAAACTTACAGTGCAAGGTTCTGCAGCTGGCTGGCTTTATGACCTTGAGCTTCCACTTAACCTGTCCACACTTCCAGTTTTCATCTACAAATTGAAGGGGGTTGTGCAAGCATTTGACATTCTTTCAGTTGCTATGGGCAGTGAACCTATGAACATGACAGTGACAGCAATGGCAAGAAACAGCCGTGAGGTCTTCTTGCCATCAGGCCAGAGCCTCTTTTCTTGCTCAGACTCCGCTGTGGGGAGCAACCGCACACCAGACCCTCCGACACATCCTCCGTGTTTCTGCCAGCTCTGCCACTATTCAAGTTCTCCTGATTTTATCAGCACCTGCTCTTGTTCTCCCATGCCCAGGACCACTATAATAGCCTCCTTTCTATTTTCTGCTAATCATCACTCCCCTAAAACACACAACAGGTGCAATACTTTTGACATATTAAATGTGTCTACCTTCAGAATCCCCCAGAAGGAGACTCTGTGACAGGGATTCAAGCAAAAGTAGTTTATGTGAGGTAGTTGGTTTCAGGAAACACAGGCAGGAAAGGAGGCAAGTGAACAATAAAAGGAAGACGGTCAATGAAGGGCACATTATAGCAAGTCGCCACTATGAGAAATGGCAGCTTCATCTCTTGGAGACACTGAGAACCAGAGCAGGACCCTGCCTCAGTTACTCTTCCTGAAAGCCTAGCTAGCTGAGGTTTACATCACCACCTCCGGCTGTCACTGGCCGTGGCTGCTCTCAGGAGTCAATCTCAGGCACTTTCACCTGCCAAAGAGAGTCCTTAGGGGAAGTGTTGCTACTGGGCAGCTGGAAGTGCTGCCAGGAAATGGTAAGGAGGTGACAGGCTCCAGGCAGGCACCAACAGCACCTGCAACACCACCGCTCATTTTTGTTTCTTAATTGTCCTGTGTCTCCTTCACACACGGAGTTGATGGCAGCCATTGCTTCAAAGAAAGATACAGCCTAAAATAAAGACTCAGGGTTTTGCTCTGAGTTTCTGATTTGTTTCTCAAGTCTATGGTAAGCATTTCATTTGAAAGTCTGGATTTATAGGACAATTGAGAGGGAAGAGAGTTTTCTAAATTCCCAAAGCCTCCTTCTGCATTAAGGCAGAACAAAGCTTGGAGGTCTAATGATGGAGTTTTGCCACAAGACATGGTGTGAAGACTTAGAATATGGCTCAGGACAGAGTTCCC
This sequence comes from Homo sapiens, assembly GCF_000001405.40. NCBI lineage: Eukaryota > Metazoa > Chordata > Mammalia > Primates > Hominidae > Homo > Homo sapiens. The sequence goes on from NW_025791814.1 coordinate 894,733, forward strand.
ACAACATGGAAGAGGAAGGGAGATGATGCAGTGGGCAGGACATGGAGAGATTTGGGGGATAAGGATGAGGTTAAGATGTTGCCTAGGGTCCAGTTACGGTGGCTCATGCCTGTAATCCCAGCACTTTGGGAGGCAGAGGTGGGCGGATCATGAGGTCAGGAGTTCAAGGCCAGCCTGGCCAACATGGTGAAACACTGTCTCTACTAAAAATACAAAAATTAGCTGGGCGTGGTGGTGCATGCCTATAATCCCAGCTACTTAGAAGGCTGAGGCAGTAGAATTGCTTGAACCCGGGAGGCAGAGTTTGCAGTGAGCTGAGATCATGTCATTGCATTTCAGCCTGGGTGACATAAAAAGGCTCTGTCCCCACCTGCTAAAAAATAAATAAAAAATAAAAAAGTTTTTAAAAAGATGTTGCCTGGATTCTTGAGAGGAATCTTAGATTTGAGGGTGGGTATGGTTTAGATGATAGAAACTCTGGATTGGTAGGAGTGGAGAAAAGGAAAGGGAAGGTCTCCCCTACCCTGAGAGGCCACAGCAGAGTGAAAATGCTGCAATAAAAAGATAAGGCAGAGAGCAGGACTGAGGTAGCACCCTGGCCCCCCAAGGTATAGGCGAGTTGTGTAGGGGATTCCAAAGTTTACTGATGTGAATTTAAGAGCAAAATGAGATGCTCATACATCTTGAAATGAGATATTCATATAGCTTCTATGGCAGACTATTTGCAAAAAATGGCTGCAATAAATTCTGTCATCCTTCATGCATGTCCTTTGCAATGTGACTTTGCTGCTCCCCTGACTTCTCTACTCCTAGAATCTGGTGTTCGCCATGCAACTGGCTTTAGTTACAGGAATATTGGCAGATCTGATGCAAGAAGTTGGGAATTAAATTAAAACAGATAGCACTTATTTAGTAATTGCTTTATGCATGTCACTGTATGATACGGTTTGGATATGTGGCCCTGCCAAAAACTTATGTTGAAATGTCATTTCCAATGTTGAAGGTGGGGTCTGGTGGGAGGTGACTGAATCATGGGGGTGGATTTCTCATGAATGGTTTAGTGCCATCCTCCTGGTACTGTCACGATAATGAGTGAGTTCTTGTGAGATCTGGTTATTTGAAAGTTTGTGGCACCTCCCCCCTCTCTTCCTCCCGCTCTGGCCATAGGAGCTGCCTGCTCCCTCTTTGCCTTCTGCCATGATTCTAAGCTTCCTGCAGCCTCCCCAGAAGCTGAGCAGATGCCAGTATTATGCTTCTTGTACAGCCTACAGAACAGTGAGCCAATTAAACCTCTTTTCTTTATAAATTACTCAGTCTCTTTTTTTTTGTTTGAGTTAGAGTTTTGCTCTGTCACCCTAGCTGGAGTGCATTGGCATGATCTCGGTTCATTGCAATCTCTGCCTCCCAGGTTCAAGTGATTGTCCTGCCTCAGCCTCCCAAGTAGCTGGGATTACAGGCTCCTGCCACAATGCCCAGCTAATTTTTGTATTTTTAGCACAGATGGGGTTTCATCATGTTGGTCAGGCTGGTCTTGAGTTTCTGACCTCAAGTGATCCACCCATCTCGGCCTCCCAAAGTGCTGGGATTACAGGCATGAGCCACCACGCGCAGCCCAGGCATTTCTTTATGGCAATGCAAGAATAGACAAATACACTGTACTAAACACTTCATATTTTAACTTCTTTTATCCTACAACTCACAGCCATAGGAGGGAGGTATTATTATTCTTGTTTTATAAATGAGGAAGCTGAGGCACAGAAAGGTTGGTCAAAGGCCATACAGTTTGCACATCTTAGAGGTAGTATTGCAAGCCAGACGATATAACTCCCAAGTCTGTGCGATTTATCTCTGGAATATTTACAATTCAGCCTGTAAGAAAGATTGCCCAACAAATGGTCGTGTGTGTGTGTGTGTGTGTGTGTGTATGTGTGTGTATTTTATTTTTATTTTTATTTTATTTTTTTGAGATGGAGTCTTGCTCTGTTGCCCAGGCTGGAGTGCAGTGGCATGATCTCGGCTCACTGCAAGCTCCACCTCCGGGGTTCACACCATTCTCCTGCTTAGCCTCCCAAGTAGCTGGGACTACAGGTGCCCACCACCAAGCCCGGCTAATTTTTTTTGTATTTTTAGTAGAGACGGGGTTTCACCATGTTAGCCAAGATGGTCTCGATCTCCTGACCTCGTGATCCACCCGTCTCGGCCTCCCAAAGTGCTGGGATTACAGGCGTAAGCCATCGTGCCCAGCCCATGTGTATATATTGTTACTCTTCCACATATATAAAAGGTCATGTCACTCAGCTTCTATGGTAGACTATTTGCAAAAAATGGCTGCAACAAATTCTCTCATTCCTCATGCATGTCCTGTGCAACGTGACTTGGCTGCTCCCCTGACTTCTCTACTCCTTCAATCTGGAGTTGGCCATGCAACTTGCTTTAGTCACAGGAATATTGCCAGATGTGATGCAAGCAGTTGGGAAGGGCATGAGCATTGTGGCTTCCTGGGACATGGGTCCACCACCCGAGTACTAGGCTAGGCTAGTCCACCAGAGGGTAAAGAGCATGTGCTGAGGCCCAGTTGTGCCTGCCATCCGATTTGAAGCCCAGACACTTAAGAGAATCAAGAGAGTGCCTCTCCTTACTAGAAGAGCTGCACAGCTGCCCCCACAGAATCATGAGAAATCATAAATGTTTGCCACTTTGGGCCACTAAGTTTTGGCATCAAGTCTCGATTGAATCCTCCCTATGTGTGGAGTACTGTTTCATGTGGGGGAATACACGTATATCCATCACAGTGGACAGAATCGTGTCCCCCTAAAAGGTAAGTTCAAGTCCTAACACCCAGTACCCGTGGATGTGACCTTATTTGGAAATAAGAACTTTGTAGATGTCATCAAATTAAGATGAGGTCATACTGGATTACAATGATCTCTAATTCAATGACTGGTTTTCTTATAAGAAGAGGAAAATCTGGACAAAGACCCAGAGAGGCAGACACAGACCCACAGGGAGAACACGGTATGATAGATATGACAACAGGGACTGAGAAGGCAGCCACCAGCAGCCACAGAGAGAGGCGAAGCAGACTCCCACCAGGAGCTTCAGAGGGAGACCACCGTGCTCACACCTTGACTTTAGACTTCTGGCCTCTAGAACTATGGCAAAATAAATTCCTCCTGTTTTAGGCCACCCAATGTGTGGCACTTTGTTACGGCTGTCCTAGGACATTAGTGTATATTCTGAGAGATGCAGAAAAAGGGACTGGGAAAAAAATAAAGAGGAACACAGAATAAAGACCTAAAACTGTGGCAGGCGCCTGTAGTCCCAGCTACTTGGGAGGCTGAGGCAGGAGAATGGCGTGAACCCGGGAGACGGAGCTTGCAGTGAGCCGAGGTGGTGCCACTGCACTCCAGCCTGGGCGACAGAGCAAGACTCTGTCTCAAAAAAAAAAAAAAAAAGACCTAAAACTGAGATACAGAGGACAGGAGGTGTGGTGACTGCTGGCATAAAGTGGAAAGAATTTAGTTACATGATTTTCTTATTTTGGGGGGTCTATTTATGGTTTTCCTTTGAACCCCTCAGGCCAACTCCGGTTTTGTCATCAGCTGCTTGCTTAGGCGAGGATGAGGGGGGCAGCTTGGTTTCTTGGGGAAGCTGGGGGCTAACCTGGCTCCTAAAAGGGCCTCTAGCCCAAAACTTCACACCCCAAATGGTCTTGTCTTCCTCCCAGTCATGACACACTTGGTTCAAGAGAAATGGGATTCTTTAGTGGGCCTGATGAAGACCCTCATGCCCTGACAGATGATACATAGTAGCATCTTAAAGATGTTAAGGATGACTTTTGATTTTTAGCCCTTTATCTGACCCACAACCATTTATTCTTGTTAATAGATCATCATAAATAAAGAACGCAAGTATGCTTGTGACAATCCTTAGAGTACAGGGATCCGGACTGCACAAGGCTGCCTGGAAGGGGTGTGAAATGGGGTAGTGAGGAGGCACAAAAAGGAGAGGGAGAGAAGGGTAGAGAGAAGGGACACATAGCTCCTCCCAGCCTGGGGCCTTTGCTCTTAGTCCCATCCTGTCTCATCTCTTGGCATTGAGTCTCCCAGTCCATCCAAGAGGATTCCAGGTTGGATTCCACAGTCCCCAGGCTCTCAGCCTCCCACGTGCTCCAAGCCTATCCTGAGTGCCCATCTCACTCCCACCACTCTCCATGACCCCATGCATCAGGACTCCTCCTTGCCCCCACATTCTCCAAGCATCATGGTCACCTAATAGCCGGCTCTGCTTTGAATTCCTCATTGCCCCTGGAATCTTTTCAGGCTGGATTACATCTTTTTAAGCCTGAATAAAAAAACCAACTGAATGATCTTTAAAGTGCACGTGACTCGCTTGTGCCCTTCTGATCATGGATAAATACCCATATCCCTGGGGGCAGCCTGCCAGCTGGCCTGCCTATCTCTCTGTCCCCCAGTCAAGGTGCACCTGCAGGCTAATTATGCACATCAATACGGCGGGGAGTGGGCTGTCCAGACTCTTCTGTGCTGCCCTCAGTTGGGTTGATTGCTGGGGCTGGCCTCGGAGCACTTGCTACGGGAGCATGAGAACCATTCTGGCTTCAGTCCAGGACTTCAAAGCCAGCTCCCCATCCCTCCTGCCATCATCCCATGAGCCTGCCCCTGGCAGCAGTCATTGCACAGCCTGGGGTGCCAGTCTTTGCTTCCCTCCTTTTCCTTCCTCACTGCCGCCTTCTATCTCCATCACTGTCCCAGATGAAAATGCAGCCATCGCCCTCCACACATCAAAAGGGGGAGGTGACGAGAGGGGCATTCATCTTTTTGCCTCCATGAAGAATCAGGAGCTGTATTGGATACGTTTACATTTATTTATTTATTTATTTATTTATTTATTTATTTATTTATTTATTTATTTATGAGACAGAGTCTTGCTCTGCAACCAGGCTGGAATGCAGTGGCAGGATCTTGGCTCACTGCAACCTCCACCCCCCAGGTTCAAGCAACTCTTCAGCCTCAGCCTCCCGAGTAGCTGGGACTACAGGTGCATGCCACCACACCCAGCTAATTTTTGAAATTTTTTTTCATTTTTATTGTTTTTAGTAGAGAGAGACGGGGTTTCACCACGTTGGCCAGGATTGTCTCAATCTCTTGACCTCATGATCTGCCCACCATGGCCTCCCAAAGTGCTGGGATTAAAGGCAGGAGCCACTACGCCCAGCCACATTCACATTTATTGATTCAATTGGCCCTTGCTTCACAGCTGCTTCAAATATTTCAGAATTCCTCCTGTTTTTTACATCATGAAACTGAGGCTGAGAGGGTGACGTTAGCTTGCACAGGAGCCACAGGTCATACTGAGTGGAATTTGTGTTTGATTCTGACCTGCCTTACCCTAGAGACACTGTCTTTCTATCCAACTGCAGAGGTCCTGGGCACAGGCCAGTCAGGGAGTAAGAATGGGCCATTTAACAAGCATTCATAGCCACCAGCAGTCACTGCTTTGCCAGTTTCAAGCAGGCAAGAGTCAAGGAAGCCTCAGCAGCTGTGGCATTTTGCCACCCAGGTAGAGGAACCTTGCTTTCCTGCAAATCTCTCCTCCTGTGATCCTTGACTGATGCCTGGCTTGGCTGTGCTGTTTTTCTGGGAAGTTAGATGTTATTCTCATGCCATATCTCTGGCTACAGCTCATGGACTGTGCCTGGCCTCCAGAATCTTCCCCTTTCTGCACCTGGCACCAAGCCTTCTAATACATCCCTACCTTCCCAGCTGGGACAGGGTCCCCAAGACACCTCACTGAGAATCAACACGATCAGTCCCCATAGTGTGTGCATGTGACACTGGGGAGCCTGGAGCTGATGCACTTACTTATAATCACAACATTCCCAAAGCACAACTTGGAGTTTGGCTCTTTGCCTTCCTTCTTCTGGAATGCAACAGTCATTGTTGAATTTCTACCCTCACCTAACCAGGCAATTCCTTATGGAAAGAGTCAGTCTGGTATCTGAACTCAGTGAATGACTTCAAGTTAAACCCAAGGCTGCATCCATGATCCTTCCAAGTAGTGGACTTTATCATCCTTGAGTCTGGCTCATCACGAAGATGCAGTTTTGCTAAATCTAAGTACAGCTCTTATCTGCTCCAAGTCTCCCAGCTCGGTACCTGTTATCAAATGTTTTTAGGAGAGAGTCTGTTTCCTTATCTTTTCTAGCTTCTAGAATCTACATGTATTTCCTGGCTCATGGCCCCCCCTCTATTTTCAAAGCCAACAACATAGCATCTCTCTCTCTCTCCCTCCCGCCCTCCCTCTTTTTTTCTCTCCTCCACCCCTCCATCTCTCATCTTATATTTGAACACAGATGTGTACTACAGGGAGAACATCATGTGATCATGAATACAGACATCCACCAGCTAAGGAGAGAGGACTGGAACAGATCTTTCCCTCACAGCTCTCAGAAAAAAAACAACCCTGTTGACACCTTCATCTTGGACTTGGAGCCTACAGAACTGCAAGACAGAGCAAACTTCTCTTGTTCAAGCCTCTCAGTTTGTGATGCTTTCTTAACAGCCCTAACAAACTAATACAGAGAGAAACGATCCCAATTAGAGAGTGCCCTGGTACGTTTACTTTTTTAAAAAAGAACTTATCAGAAGAGTACTTTCAGGGATCATTTCTATAGTTCATTACTAGAGAAGTTTCTCTAAACATGTAGAGCATCAAAACCGCACAACTACATGCAAACTGAACAACCTGCTCCTGAATGACTACTGGGTAAATAACAAAATTAAGGCAGAAATAACCAAGTTCTTTGAAACCCATGAGAACAAAGATACAGTGTACCAGAATATCTGGAACACAGCTAAGGCAGTGTTTACAGGGAAATGTATAGCACTAAATGCCTACATCAGAAAGTGGGAAAGAAGTAAAATCAACACCCTAACATCACAGTTAAAGAAACTAGAGAAGCAAGAGCAAACGAATTCAAAACCTAGCAGAAGACAAGAAATAACTAAGATCAGAGCAGAACTGAAGGAGTTAGACACATGAAAACACCTTCAAAAAATTAATGAATCCAGGAGCTGGTTTTTTGAAAAGATTAACAAAATAGATAGACCACTAGATAGACTAATAAAGAAGAAAAGAGAGGAGAATCAAATAGACACAATAAAAAAATGATAAAGGGGATATCACCACTGATCCCACAGAAATACAAACTACCATAAGAGAATACTATAAACACCTCTACACACATAAACTAGAAAGTCTAGAAGAAATGGACAAATTCCTGGACACATACACCCTCCCAAGACTAAACAAGGAAGAAGATGAATCCCTGAATAGACCAATAACAAGTTCTGAAATTGAGGCAGTAAATCAATAGTCTACCAACCAAAAAAGCCCAGGACCAGACGGATTCACAGCCAAATTCTACCAGAGGTACAAAGAGGAGCTGATACTGTTCCTTCTGAAATTATTTCAAACAATAGAAAAAAAGGGACTCCTCCCTAACTCATTTTATGAGGCCAGCATCATCCTGATTCCAAAACCTGGCAGAGACACAACAAGAAAAGAAAATTTCAGGCCGATATCCCTGATGAACATCGATGCAAAAATCCTCAGTAAAATACTGGCAAACCGAATCCAGCAGCACATCAAAAAGCTTATCCACCATGATCAAGTCAGCTTCATCCCTGGGATGCAAGGCAGATTCAACATACACAAATCAATAAACAGAACCAATGACAAAAAATACATGATTATCTCAACAGATGCAGAAAAGGACTGATAAAATTCAAAACACCTTCATGCTAAAAACTCTCAATAAACTAGGTCTTGATGGAACATATCTCAAAATAATAAGAGCTGTTTATGACAAACCCATAGCCAATATCATACTGAATGGGCAAAAGCTGGAAGCGTTCCCTTTGAAAACTGGCACAAGACAAGGATGCCCTCTCTCACCACTGCTATTCAACATAGCATTGGAAGTTCTGGCCAGAGCAATCAAGCAAGAGAAATAAATAAAGGGCATTCAAATAGGAAGAGAGGAAGTCAGATTGTCTCTGTGTGCAGACGACATGATTGTATATTTAGAAAACCCCATCATCTCAGCCCTAAAACTCCTTAAGCTGATAAACAACTTCAACAAAGTCTCAGGATACAAAATCAATGTGTAAAAATCACAAGCACTCCTATACACCAATAATAGACAAGCAGAGAACTAAATCATGAGTGAACTCCCATTCACAATTGCTACAAAGAGAATAAAATACCTGGAATTACAACTTACAAGGGATGCGATAAGACCTCTTCAAGGAGAACTACAAACCACTGCTCAAAGAAAAAAGAGGGGACACAAACAAATGGAAAAACATTCCATGCTCATGGATAGGAAGAATCAATATTATGAAAATGGCAATACTGCCCAAAATAATTTATAGATTAAATGCTATTCTCATCAAGCTAACATTGACTTTCTTCACAGAACTAGAGAAAACTACTTTAAATTTCATACGGAATCAAAAAAGAGCCTGTGTAGCCAAGACAACTCTAAACAAAAAGAACAAAGCTGGAGGCATCATGCTACCTGCCTTCAAAATATACTACAAGTCTACCATAACCAAAACAGCATGGTTCTGGTATCAAAACAGATATATAGACCAATGGAACAGAACAGAGGCCTCAGAAATAACAGCACACATCTACAACCATCTGATCTTTGGAAAACGTGACAAGAACAAGCAATGGGGAAAGGATTCCCTATTTAATAAATGGTGCTGGGAAAACTGGCTAGCCATATGCAGAAAACTGAAACTGGACTCCTTCCTTAAACCTTATATAAAAATTAACTCAAGATGGATTAAAGACTTACATGTAAAACCTAAAACCATAAAAACCCTAAAAGAAAACCTAGGCAATATCATTCAGGACATTGGCATGGGCAAAGACTTCATGAGTAAAACACCAAAAGCAATGGCAACAAAAGCCAAAATTGACAAATGGAATCTAATTAACTAAAGAGCTTCAGCTCAGCAAAAGAAACTATTATCAGAGTGAACAGGCAACCTACAGAATGGGAGAAATTTTTTGCAATCTACCCATCCGACAAAGGGCTAATATCCAGGATCTACAGGGAACTTAAACAAATTTACAAGAAAAAAACAAACAACTCCATCAAAAAGTGGGTCAAGTATATTAGCAGACACTTCTCAAAAGAAGATATTTATGCCGCCAAAAAAAAAAAAAAATGAAAAAAAGCTCATCATCACTGGTCATTAGAGAAATGCAAATCAAAATCACAATGAGATACCATCTCAAGCCAGTTAGAATGGTGATCATTAAGAAGTCTGGAAACAACAGACGCTGGTGAGGATGCAGAGAAATAGGAACACTTTCACACTGTTGGTGGGAGTGTAAATTAGTTCAACCATTATGGAAGACAGTGTGGCGATTCCTCAAGGATCTAGAACCAGAAACACCATTTGACCCAGCAATCCCATTACTGGGTATATACCCAAAGGATTAGAAATCATTCTACTATAAAGACACATGCACATGTATGTTTATTGCTGCATTATTTACAATAGCAAAGACTTGGAACCAACCCAAATACCCATCAATGATAGACTGGATAAAGAAAATATGGCACATATACACCATGGAATACTATGCAGCCATAAAAATGAATGAGTTCATGTCCTTTGCAAGGTCATGGATGAAGCTGGAAACCATCATCCTCAGCAAACTAACACAGGAACAGAAAACCAAACACCACATGTTCTCACTCACAAGTGGGAGTTGAACAATGAGAACACAGGGGCACAGAGAGGGGAACATCACACACCGGGGCCTGTCAGGGGGTGGAGGGCAAGGAGAGGGAGAGCATTAGGAAAAATGCCCAATGCATGCAGGGCTTAAAACCGAGATGGGTTGATAGGTGCAGCAAACCACCATGGCACATGTGTACCTATGTAACAAACCTGCACATTCTGCACATGTATCACAGAAAAAAAAAAAAAGAACTTGTCAGAAAGTTCTGTGGAACCAAAAGTACTTACTATAATTGTTGGTTTGGAGAGGCAGAGGAAGTAGGAGAGGGTGCTGAGGGCATACTTTCCTAACCAATGTCATTGCCATGAAGATTTCTGAGGTCTCTGGCTCCTTCTTCCATGCCCAATTCCTTGCGCAGAGCAACTTGGAGGCAAATCATGAAGGCACTGCCTGGCCCAGCCCCTGGCCCTGGAGGAGGCACTTCCTCCTCCTCCTCTGCTTCCGTGGGGCCTTTTGGTCTCCATCATGTCAGACTTAGCACTTCCTCCAGCTCAGCATCTAACGTGGGTGATTTGCACCTTTATTATGAATTGTTTATTCTCTGGGGTATCTATGACCACAGTGTGCAAGTGATATTTCCATTCAAGGACCAAAGAAAAAAAATTTTTTTAAACTTTGTTTCCTGAGAGACACATTCCAGGCATCATAGAAGCAATGGGGGAGGGATGGGGACACAGAGAGTCATTGCAGGTAGGCTATGACCCCGGGAAGAACATCCTTCACACCTGGTAACATTTGTGAGAAGGTGTTTCCTCCAGAAAAAATTAGTTCAGGGACATTTTGCTAGTAAGAGGCCAATTATCTGTTTGAGGCCACCAACAGAATGGTTGTTTAATTTCTATAACCAAAGCTGACGTCTCATTGCATGATCAGCGATCAGTGCCTGTTATCAACAGCCGCAAAGGGTCTTACTCTAGGGCTCCGATGCCCGCTCCAGATCCCCTGAATTCTCATCTCACATGTGGCTGGTCAGCTGCAGGAGAACGAGGAGCTGACCTCCGCCCTGTGCTGCTGATGGGAATGGCATTTCCCCACCCTGTGCAGCTCTGGCAGCCTCCCTCTTACCCCTGCTATCACAGCCGCGGAGGCAGGCAGGGAGCTCGTGACAGCTGGCAAGCCAGCCTCTGGGAATAAAACATTTTAGCACTTCATAAATTTCTAACAAGGTTTCAAATTGCGGCCGTTTCCCTCCTCTCAGCTCCGTCAACTAGCAAAAGGGGTTGGGGGTGGGGGAAGAAAGACTAATTAAATCTACGGTGGGAAAGCACTGCTGGTAAGATTGCTACTTATTAAAAATCATGAACTGTTAGGACCCGATTACAAAGTAAGTTGAAATTCTCCCCATTTTCCCCATACATAAAAATATAAAACAGAGCCTTTCAATTTTATATGTATTTGGTATGTGTGTATATATATATATATTTTCAAAGGATTAAATACATATCCTTAACAGGATAGCTGATATATGACATTCTTAAACCTAAGGGAAGATGACACATAACTAACTAAAATGCTGAGAGACATTCAATATCAATACTGAACATTAACATTGAGGCTTGGTATCATTTACAAAGTAGTTATTTCACATTCTTTTCCCCTGGGAGTTTTACTGAAAGAAAATGCTTGCTAGAAGAGCATCAGATGGAGAAAACACAGCCTGGAAAGCCTCACCCAACTGACAGCTTCCAAGTTCCAAGTTTTGGTCACCATCACTAATGTTTTTAAAAAGACAAAACAACAATTCCAAAAAAAAAAAAAAAAAAACAACTTTTTTTTTTTTTTTGAGGCAGGGTCTCTTTCTGTTGTTCAGTCTGGAGTGCAGTGGTGCAATCTCAGCTCACTGCAACCTCCGCCTCCCAGGTTCAAGTGATTCTCCTGCCTCAGCTTCCCAAGTAGCTGGAATTACAGGTGCATGCCACCATGCCTAATTTTTATATTTTTAGTAAAGACGGGGTTTCACCATGTTGGCCAGGCTGATCTCGAACTCCTGACCTCAGGTGATCCACCCGCCTTGGCCTCCCAAAGTGGTGGGATTACAGGCATGAGCCACCGTGTCCAGCCAAAAAACCTTTCTTAATTTCATGGTTCTTTGTTTTAAAAGAAGGGTACTTGCTTTACAGGAAATACGTAAGCCTTATGGGTAGGGGAAATGTGGAACAGGGAACAAAAAAACTAATTCACAAAGACGTTTAATTGTCAACTAAAACATGTTAGGAGCACTGTGGGAGGGGTGTGTTTGGAAAAATAAGGGGTAAGATTTTAAATAGTTTCACTCTGAGAAAACCAGCATTCCTTTTCCTACTAGAGTAAGTAAGCAGGGTTGCCTTCTTCAGGTAGTGGGTCTCACATGAAAAAATTTCAATCTGAAATAAGGGTCGTAGAATTGGTGACGTGAGAATTGGGCAAAACTAGGGCACAGACAGATCCTGGCAGTAACTTCGGGCCCACATCACTTTGGGCAAAACACACAGACAAGCACGAAGCAGGTACAGGACAACCACCAGCTGCTGCACTGAGCATTCTCTGCGCTCCCTGCACCTTCGCCTGATGCCCATTTTCTTTTTTAGCGTGAGAAAGTTGACCTTTAGGATGACATACAAAATAAGCTTCTCCAGCTAGGATGGGAGGCAAAATGCAAAGACCATGTGTGCTATTTATGTTTGAGAATGAACCTTCCTGCAAAGTATCAGCCTGTCGTATATTTAGAACAGAGACCCCAGGGTGGGAGCATCTCATGGCAGCTCCCAATTGAATGCCAGATGCAAATGATCACTTGCTATTAATCCCAGCCTTGCTAACATTTGGTCCTGAGCATCACAGCTAATTGACGGGATGAATTACCATTTCTACGGATGGTGCCACCTGTGACATTCAGGATCTTTGAGAGGTAGAACCCGCAGTAGTTTAACATTGCCAGTTTAGTCAGTTATGATCATTGATACATGGCTCACCATTTTCTCTCTTTCTCTCTCTCCCTGTGTGTGTGTGCGTGTGTGCATGTTACATGGTTTCACTATGAGATATACAGCATTTTATTTTGTCTACATATGCAAATGTTCAGTGACAGGGACAAAAAGAAAAAAAATCAAGAATAATGAATGTGATTAAGTGGAAAACTACTTATAAAACACTCTAAAGTTGACTAATATAGGCAAACACTGTTAAAGTCGATTTTAGGGAATCATCCAGGTATTTCACATAGCATAGGCTATAACTTCATTAAAGAAAACATGGTCACCCCTGCCTGAACTGCACCCAGATTGCACCCCAGTGGCTCTGAGCCAGGACAGGTGGCCAGTCACCCCCTGCCTGAATTGCACCCAGATGGCACCCCAGTGGCTCTGAGCCAAGACAGGTGGCCTTCCCACCTGCCTCATTACCTTACGGTGACACCCCTCCCCCCACCCCCACCCTGAGGGGCTGCAGTGTGATAATTCTGGGAAGAGCTTCAGAACCTATCTGTCCTGCATGCTAATCCAAGTTTCCAAGTGATTTTATGTGCATTTTCTCATCCAGTGCTCCCAACAATTACAGCTTGTCTTTCACTAACCGAAAGCATTCTTCTCTATCCCTCCCAGTAATTCCTGCAGGGCATAACCTGTGAGGAAAAGATTAGAGATGGCTAATATTTTGGGTATAATGAACGAAGCCAGCTTCAGTTTATTTTCATTAAACACAATTCCCATTTCCAGGTGTTTGTTAGTTTTGGTGAACATCACAGGATGGCCTTTCCCCGGTAAGTGCAGCAATCCATCTGTTGTAAGGAGCACCTCTGCACTCAGACCTCCTGATGTGGAAGTGCTTCAAGGTAAAAGCAGGCTTCCCAAAGCTTGCGTTGATTGTAATTGTAGTGAAAGTTAGAAACAAAAGCCAGTAGTTACTGAGAACAGAAGTTGAGCACCAGACCTCGGATATAGCATAGGGGTATGGAAGATCTTATAGAACAAGAGGAAAAAACAAGGCATTTTCTTTGAAAAGGAAGGTGGAGGCCCAATTGAGACAGGCTGAAATTCACCCAAGAGGGGAGATTATCAAAGAGATGCATATTGAAGACGTCCTTTGATGTCAGGGTGAAGTAGTATGGTGACTAAAATATTAGAACTATCTCTAGAGGGCAGCTGGGGATGTCTGCTCCTATTAATCCACTAGAGTCTAGACCTGAAAGGCTCATGGGGGCCCTTCCCCAACCCTCTGCTCTCACTTCCCAAGGCTATAAGTGGCCATGATCTGTGCTGAATCCCCACTGCAGGGAACATTCCAGAACAAGGATTGACACTTACATCTCTGTGATACACTACTTGTTCTCTCATATTCTTGATAGTTGGTCCTGAGCCAAGTATTCTAGCAAAGATGGTGCAGCACAGAAAATTCTCAGGTTTCATTTTCCATTTAGGGAATGTGGGAGCTCTGGTCAGAGACCCACAGATGACCCCAACCTCAAAGCTGGCCAGCTGTGCTGCACCCATGGGGAGAAGGAGATGAGGCCTGCATGCTGTGGCAGACACAGGTGGGTGGAGAAGTAGATGAGGCCTGCATGCTGTGGTGGACACAGGTGGGTATTGTCAGCATCCTGCTGTCTTCACAGTGAGAGCCCTTTCAGAGAGTCCCAAATCCAAGCCAGCCTCCTTCAACCATCCCTGGAGAGGTGGATCTCATAGCATCTGCCAAGAGTCTTGTGCTTAACTGTGTATCACGACAGACTCTTTCCCTGACCAGACTTTAGGCAGGCCCCTCTCTAAGCTCTTCTCAACTAAGCCCTGACTTTGGAGCATTTTTTCTTGTCTCTGCCTTCTCCAGTTTTAGCAAGAATCCTGCTTAGTTTGGCTATCCTGGGTATCTGATCACCCTAACTATCTGATCAGGTTTCTCCTTCACCAACCCCCAGGTGGTTGTCTGATCACCCTGGTCTGTGTTCAGCAAGAGTCATGTTCAGGTGATGTAGCCAGAATGCCCCTTACCCTTGATGTCTCCTGTAAATAATATTCCATCCACTGATCCCCACCTCACTACCTGGCTATAAACTCCCATTTGTTTTTTGTATTTGGAATTGTGCCCAATCTCTCTCGCCCACTTCAAAATGCAATTGCAGGGTCTCTATGGCTCTGAATAAAGTCTGCCTTACTGCCTTATCAAAGGTCATTTTTTTTTCTTTAACAATAACACTGAACTCTTCCCCGAGGTTAAACCAAGGAACATTCTCAAAATTATATCCAATTATCTTCCTAAAAACAAAAGGGAGTTGCTGTATAACTGGT
The DNA here is from genome assembly GCF_000001405.40 of Homo sapiens. Taxonomy (NCBI): domain Eukaryota; kingdom Metazoa; phylum Chordata; class Mammalia; order Primates; family Hominidae; genus Homo; species Homo sapiens. The sequence continues at coordinate 909,834 of NW_025791814.1, forward strand.
CTTCATTTCTTCCCTAGACAAAACAAAAAGTAGACTTGAACATTTCTTAAAAGACTGGTCTCCTTAAATTCTTTTAGTTTCTCTTCATTTTTATCAAAATATAAAAACCAAATTCAGAATCAGTTTCTCAACTTTTCAATATTTTCTTTCTCTATTGGCATCTCAGCATCAAAGTATTAAAGTAGTGCCGTGAGACTCACACCTCCAATGGCTAGGAAATTGGCCAGCTTAGGCACCAATACTGCACCCAAGTCTGGAACTGTAGAATACAGTGATGATCTTGTATTGACTTTGAAACTCATCTGTAAGAGTTATTCGAGTTTTTTCCATGGAAAAAGAATGCAATATTGTCAAAATTGCTGATAACGGCCAAGTCAGGGCTCACAGCCCTTACCGTCTTTCAGAACAGTTGGGGGTGTAGAAAAAGAAACTACAGCTAACACTCAGCACCTGCAAATGGCCAGGTGCAGCTCTAAACCTTATTTGTGTGAAAACTCACTTAATTGTCACAACAACCCTACAGGAGGCGAATGTTATTATGGGATCCCCATCTTCCAGATGAAAAAAACTGAGGCACAGAAAGGTTAGTTAGGCAGCCCTAACCATGTGGCTGGTAAGAAGAACAGAGCTTCAAAGCCTGAGATAGTCATAACCTAGCTAGGAAAACTTTTTAGTTGTTACTAAACAGATGCAGAGGCATATTGAAAGTAAAAGTAAAATGCAAAAACAGAAGAGGTAGAAAGGGTGCCAAGGTGAGAAGTTGGCAGTCTTTTCTTCTGGAAACTTCCAGGAGATTTAGAATGAAAGAAAGAAAGCAGCCAAGGGGATCATGGTAAACACGAGGCAGCCTGGACATGGCATAGCACCCCCAGGCTGCCGGACTCCAGGGCATGCCCAAGGGTAGCTGCAGAGTCAAACTAAACCAAGAAACAGAGTTGGGCAGTGTAAAGAGCTGTAGGCTTCACGCAGTGGGAGACAGGCCACCCAGCCCACATGAGGGACAGAAAGCCACTTAAGGGCACGAGCTTTCATTAGCATAGAACCATGCTGCCCATTTTACCAGGTATTTTCATTGAGCAGGCCATGGGCTGGGTGTCCTATAAGGCAGGCCTGGGTTCCTCTTCAGGCTGCTGTCATAACGCAGTTCTGAGCTGCAATGATTGAAACGGATGGAGGAGGGAGTATTGGGAATAAACAAGAGTGAAGGTCATCTCAAAGCACCTTTTACATTTTTCCCGAAAGGTGGAGTTTTGAAAGCAGAACCCCTTGAAAATGTGTTCTTGTGCATGCTATTCCTTCAGACTGTGAGCAATTTCTCCTCTCCGCACCTACACGGGGGAAGGCTTCCGGACCAGGTTTCTGCAAAGAGCACTTGCGTGGTTCATAAAAGCAACACCGGAACTCACTCACTCTGCCTTCTCCATCCCTCTGGGCATGGCTCATTTCCATCTTAACTGCATCTCTAAGTAAATCAAGAGCCAGCGAAAGGAAGTATGAAGATATAGTGGGGAACCTTGAACAATTCCTTTTTTACTCCCAATTACTTTAGGTAAAACTCTGAATCCAACTTGTTTTATTTGTGATGCTATTGTTACAGCCTCAAAACCTGTTTTGACTTGGAAAGGCATTCCAAATAGGTACACTGGGAACTCAACCTAAAATAGCCAGTTAATTTTACACGCACATTTTATTTTCAGGGAACGTGCGTATGTCGCATACAATGAAGAGGGGAAAATGGAGACTGGAGTTTATGATGTAATCTTTATGCGAATTTTATTATTTCATAAAATGTGAATACGTTCATGGGAAAGAGGCCATGAAACATATTCACTTTTGCTACACATGCTGATAACTTCAAAGTCAGGTGGACGGGAATTGACACAGAATTTTCATAATAAGGGCTGATAAAATGTGCTATTGTGTCAACACATACTTCTAGCTTCTGTTTTTAAATGTTTTGCTAGTAATAGGTTTAAAAAGTGATTTGTTTCTGTTTTTTTCTTTTTGAGATGGAGATTTGCTCTTTTCCCCCAGGCTGGAGTGCAATGGTGTGATCTTGGTTCATTGCTACCTCCACCTCCTGGGTGCAAGCGATTTTCCTGCCTCAGCTTCCTGAGTAGCTGGGATTACAGGCACCCGTCACCGTGCCTGGCTAATTTTTGCACTTTTAATAGAGACGGGGTTTCACCATGTTGGCCAGGCTGGTCTCGAACTCCCGACCTCAGGTGATCCACTCATCTTGGCCTCCCAAAGTGCTGGGATTATAGGCATAAGCCACTGTGCCCAGCCTGATTTAATGGTTATTGCCTATCTCTTTCCTCTCAGTTATAGGCATGTCAGACCTGTGTCCTATACCTCCTGCTGCGGGTGGCTCTGCATAGAGCTCAGGCAGTTTTAGGAACTGTCTTAGTTCCCTCAGCAGGAGCCCTGCCCATGTCCAACTGCCTGTCTTGGTTTGGTGGCCTCCCCAGCCAAATTCCCTCTTCCTCTCTGTATCATACAACCTCCCCCTTCCCAAATACAGATAACTGCCGGAATGGTGGGCATCTGCTGTGCTGTGCAACGTGGTTCCCTTTGTGGGTGTTACTCACGCAAATCACGTCCTCTCGTGGCTGCCACCATTATGGACCAGGGCCCGTAACAAATTCCATAACTTCACAGGATTTGCCTTAAGAAATAACGATTGCCATAATCGCCGCGGTGGTGGACCCTGTCCCGGAGAGCTGTCTTCTGTCAAATAAAAAGCAGCTCCTGCTGGAGGCATTGCTCACTCCCAGCAGCCCACAGTCAGTAACTGGCTGACCTAGGGGTCAAAGCATTGGCCCTATTGCCACAGGTGGATCATATCCCTGCAGGGCGCTCTGTGCGCCAGAGCCAGCCTGTGAGGTCAGACAGAGGCCAGTCCCCAGCTGAAACCACATCCCTGACTTACGCAGCTCCCCACCTAACCCTTGTTCAACCAATCCTTCATCAGTCCCTCGCACGAGAACCCCCTTCTCAGGTTCTACTTCTAGGAAACCCAGCTGTTTACATTTCTGAGGGCTGCCATAACAAACTTCCACATGTCTGGTTGCTTTAAACAATAGAAATTTGGTCCAAAATTGAGATGTAGGCAGTGTTAATTCCCATGCCTCTCTTAGCTTCTGGTATCTGCCAGCAATCTTTGGCATACTTTGGCTTGTAGACACACAACTCCAATTTCTACCTCCGTCTTCACATGGCCTTCTTCTCCCTGTGTCTTCATGTCTAAATTTCCATCTCCTCTCTCTTAGAAGGACACCAGTCCTTGGATTTAGGGCTTATAGTAAGTCCAGGCTGATCTCATCTCCAGATCCTAACTTAATTACATCTGCAAATACTCTATTTCAAAATAAGGTCAGATTCTGAGGTACCAGGAGAACACGAATGTTTGGGAAACACTGTTCAACCCACTACACCAACCTAACACATTTCAGCAAAGTGCCTACAAGCCAAGGTAAGTAAGCAAAAGAAAGCACAGGCCCCTGATTTTCCCTCTGATGCCATAGAAAGGCATTTGGGCCAAGACACTGTGGTGGGCAGGCAGTGTGGCTGTGAATTCTAGGGGAAGTTCCCCTCTGCTAGGCTGCCTGCCCTTTAAACAAGGCAAGTGTGAGAGCAATCTTGTAAGTAAGGGAATAATCCAGCTACCGGGGCACCAGGCAGGATGAATTTAGATGTCAGCTGTTTGAAGCAACTGTTTGGAAAGTCCAGATCCCCAGAATACGGAAGCCTTGAAGACACAGTAGAAGCTGGGTTCAGATGCATCCCCCCTACCCTGAAAAAGGAAGATATTGGTCCCATGGGAAGCTGAAATTGGGTTGAGGCTTCCCCACTGGGAACAAGGGGAAGTGCTAGCTGAGATGCTGTCCAACAACCAGAAGGGAGCTTCCAGAGCACTTTAAGACAACAGTGCTTTGCACACCACATCATACAGGACAGGCGGCCTGTGACTTAGTTACTATGAGAGTTCTGCCCTAAGACCAATCTTTTTTCTCTCTCTCTGAGATTTTAATAAAAGATGTAGAGTGAAAGAGCATAGAAGTGATAGAGGGGAAGAACAAGCATAATTCATAGTGGAAAGTGATGTGAGAGAGACATAGACAGAGGCTGGTGTGCTGGGAATCAAACTGAGTGAAGTTAATGGTCAGGTGAAGCTCCGTGGGTTGTACATGAAGGAGCAATGGAACAGCATGGGCTCCAGACTGCCTGGGAGCTCAAACAGCCTTCCAGGCTCCACTTTCGGAAAGGTACACATGAGTGACAGTTCCTTTCCTTCTTTGTTGCCTGGCCATGTGGTTGATGATCCTAGCATCTTCGTTTCTAAATGTGTCTCATAACCTGCAGAGACATGAGTCAGTCTTATTCCAGTTCATCTAAATGAACCAACAAAATGTCTCATAAAAATATGAAGATAAAATTAATCTGAATATGTGAAACTATATTAAAAAGCCTAAAGTTCTGTACAAATGGAACACATTATTAGACATAAATAAGTCATGTTCATACTGGAAGCCACATTCATCATCACTTAGTTCTATCACTTACTTCATCATCACTTACTTCTATCTCGGTGAGTCTGAGATTCAGCTTAAACATCTTACCATGATCATGGAACAGATTCAACAAAGATCTCCTGAATATCCTCAAAAAATAGCATAAGATAAACCATCCAAGGTCCTTTACTGCTATTATTCATCTCTCATTCAGTTATGCATTCATTCACTACATGGAGACTAAGGAATGAAAATGAGCAAAATTATTATGTAATAATTATATAACATATAATTATAATTTTTACAAAATAATTTTGCTCATTTTCAAACCCAATCTGACCCCTTGTTGGGTTTGTATCATAATCCCAAAAGACACAATCACAAATGCCATGATCCCAAAAATTGAAATCCTGAAAGATTGAAATCCCTAAAGACCAAAAATCTCAAAGTTCAAATCCCTAAAGCCTAAAATCCCTAATATCTAAAATCTTGAAAATCACTATCAGAAAATAGTTGCATCATGTTAGGCAGATCTAGCCATCTTGTTATTAAGCATGGTTTAAGGCGAGGAATATGGGTGCCAAGTTACCCACGTTGACCAGTAGTGACTTAATGTGGTCACCAGTGGACTTAATGTTAGGTGTTAACTTGATTAAGAACTGAAGGAATACCTAGAAACCTGGTAAAGTATTATTTTGAGTGTGTCTGTGAGGGTATTTCCAGAAGAGGTTACCGTATGAATCTGGGTGGACTAAGTGAGGAAGATTTGCCTTCCATGTTGTCAGGTGCACCATCCAATTCGCTGGGCACCAGGAAAGAACAAATACAGAAGGCAAATTGGAAAAAGCTGTCAGCAACAAAAGCTTACAACGGATTCTGAGGCACAGATCCCTCTCTCTGAGAGCTGGGACAGATGTTTCTTCTGCTGCCTTGGACATCAGAACTCTAGGTTCGCCAACCTTTGGACTCTAGGAACTTACACCAGCAGCTCCCAGGATCCTGAGGTTTTCAACCTTGGACTGAGAGACACATCGTCGGCATCCCTGGTTCTCAAAGTATAAACATTGGAACTTCCTCAATAAATGAAGAGATGTCCTTTTTGTACATTTGTATCTGTGAAAGATGCAATTTCTGGAGATCTTGGTTCTTTGGGCGATTGCAAATGCGGTGGCGAACCTTTGCAGTTTTGATTGACTCGTCAAAAGACTAAGGTTGTTCATCATGGTATTTCAGACGACTGTAGTTAGAAAGCTGGGTGCACACAATAACCAACCATAGTGATGTGAATTTATACATTTCCCTTTTTAGCCTGTTTCTTTATGAATATGTGCTGTCTGTTCCTAACTGTTATGCTCATGTGACTATCATTAGTATACCTGAGTGTTTATGCTTGCAAAAATATTTATGTTATTATTGCTTATTTTATTGTGTAAAGTGGCCTATCATGTTTCTCGATGATGTTTTTATGTTTTTCCAATAAATCCCCCTTTAAAAATATAAATAAATACCTCTAATATAATTTTTTATATTATTTCTTCCAGAATTATAATTTGGGGATTTGATCTTTCAGTGTTGTTATTTTCAGGATTTTAGACTTTGCAAATTTTGACTTTCTAGGATTTCAACATTCAAGATTATGGTGTTCTAGGTACTGTGTCTTTCAGGATTATGATCAGCTGCCCACTTCTATTTGCGGATGAGACAGATTTAATCAAATAGTCATAGAAATGAAAGAAAAATCACAACTTTGATAAGTACTACAAAGAAGATCTCTGATGCTCTGAGATAATACAAGAGGGTAAATTGATCTATTAGGAGGTTGCAGTTGTGGAGCAGGGGTTGTGAGGGCCAGAGGAAGGAGAAAGGCCCTGCAGACAGAGAGCATATGATGTGTGCACATCCCTTAGACAGGAGGAGTCATTGTGGACTAGCAGAAGAGAAAAGAGCACAGAAAGCCAGATGGAGCATGATTTAAGGTGAAGGTGGAAATTCTCTGGGGAGAAGGCTGTTCAGGGCCTTGGGGACCAACGTAAGGATCCTGGTCTTTGTTCTATGAGCAATGGGCAGCAAGGAGCATATTTCAAGCAAGAGATTAATATAATGAGAGTGTTCTTCTTAAAAAATTACATGTGGCTTTTAATTCAAGATGGTAGAATGAGCTATTGATATTCCCTTTAAGCTTCCTTAAAATAAGAGTAATGAGCTAAGAAAAGAGGGAAAATCATTATGGCAAAGAAAACAGGAAAAGCTGTCAGCAACCAAAAGATGTCAGCAGATTCTGAAGCACCGATCTCTCTCACTATATCTTAGTCTGCTGGACTGCTTTCACAAAAATACCATAGACTGGATGACTTATAAACAACATGTATTTCTCACAGTTCTGGAGGCCAAGAAGTCTAAGATCAAGGCACTGGCAGGTTCAGTGTCTGGTGAGGGTTCATTGCTCATAGTTGGCGCCTTCATGCTGTGTCCCTAGATGATGGAAGGGGCCAATGAGCTCCCTTGGGCTTCTTTTATAAGGGCTCGAATTCCACTGATGAGAGCTCCACACTTATGACCTAATCACCTCTCAAAGACTGCACCTTTTACTACCATCACATTGGGGATTAGGTTACAACATATAAATTTGGTGGGAGCCGAAAACCTTCAGACAACAGCACATCATAAAGCAACAAAGACTATTCCATAACCCTTGCCCACTTATATAAGTTTCCTTCCTATCTGCTCAATCTTTAATATAAATGGAAATCAACAGCCATCAGATATTCAAGGAATGCTTGCATCATGAAGGAGGAAGACCAAGGCAACAAATATAAAAATACAAACGTTGGATGAAACACAATTCAGAAAACGGGAGAAAACGAAAATAATCATCATCATCATCATTAAGAATTCCAGGAGATAATCTATTTGTAAGACAAAAATAGAATTGTGATGAAGAATGTGAAAGAGACACTAAGATAAATAAAATACAGAATGAGAAGACTAAATAGATAACTAACTGGAATCTCAGGAATATAAAAGAAAATCATTAAAAAGATACAATTTTTAGAACTATCAGAAAATATGTATTAAAAATCCCAAAAGTACAATATACTGAGATAAATAAAATCAGAATATATAAAAAGAAATTTGTGTCCAAACACACTTTGACAAAATTACAGAACATCAAAAACAAAGAGGAGATCTTAAATGAAGCCATAGAGCAAGGACAAACAGCCTACAAAAAGGAAACAATTTAAATGACTTCAGACTTTCCAACAGCACTAATGAAAGCTAGAAGATAATGATATTTTACCTCCAAAGTACAAAGGGAAAATATATAGTCAGTACAGAATTGTGTGCCCAGCCAAATACTCTTTTATGAAAAAGATAAAACAAGGATGGGTAAAGATAACAAAAACTGAGAGGGTATGCCACAAAGAAACCTGAAATAAAGAAAATTCTAAAGGATATGCTTCAAGAAAAAGGAACACGACCTTAAAAAGATGGTTTGGGATCCAAGTAAGAATGAACAAATGAAATTATAAAACAGTAAGCAAATCCAAAGAAATAACATCTGAATAAGCTAATAATAAAATAATACCTAGTATCTGGGTTAAAAAAAAATAAATATATAGAAGTAGAGAAAACAACAGGAGCATGTAAGTTTTGTTTGATTGTTTCTTTGTTTTTGAGACGGAGTCCTGCTCTGTCACCCAGCCACCGTGCCTGGCCCAGAAGCATGTAGGTTTTGAGGTGAGTGTTCAGAATCAAAATGCTCCAAAACCTGCTTTTGTTTTTTGTTTGCTTTTCATGGAAGAAGGTGCTTAGGTTATTGCTTAATTGCAGACTTTTGCTAATTTAAATGTACATGGTAAATTTCCAAGGTAACATCTAAATAAATGGAAATAGAATATATACATTCTAAGTAAGTACAGTAAAAGTAAAAAAGAAAAACTTATTAAACAAAGAAAGAAGGATGTATAAGGATGATAAAGTGTGACAAATAGAAGTCAAAAGTAAGGTGTGAAAAGAAGTTCAGTATATCAAAAATCATAAAGAATGTGGGCCGGGCATGGTGGCTCATGCCTGTAATCCCAGCACTTTGGGAGGCCAAGGAGGGTGGATCATCTGAGGTCGGGGGTTTGAGACCAACCTGACCAAAATGGAGAAAACCCATCTCTACTAAAAATGCAAAATTATCCAGGCATGATGGTGCATGCCTGTAATCCCAGCTACTCGGTAGGCTGAGGCAGGAGAATCACTTGAATTCGGGAGGCAGAGGTTGCGGTGAGCTGACATCGTGCCATTGCACTCCAGCCTGGGCAACAAGAGCGAAACTCCATCTCAAAAACAGAAAAAAAAAAAAAAAAAAAAAAAAAAAGAGTGTGAGTAGACTAAACTTGTGTTTGAATAATCCTGCCCATGGAAGGGCTCAGAAAAGATGGAATAGCTAACTATTGTTTTCTACTATATTAGACTTTTGACTTTTTAACCTTGATCATTTTGGTGTATTTTTAAAAATGGGAATGAAAGGTATTTTGGGCTGAAGTATGAAAGAAGGAGAGTAGAGAGAGGCAAGACGGGCTATTAGGATGTTATTACCATAGCCTGACTGACTGATGATAAACACACTTAAACTTTTTAAAAACTTCCTCAATCATTTCATGGAATGGATTCTGACGAAGAGAAATTTTGGTTCAGACGTCAGTATTAATTTTTAATATGTATTGCCAAATTTATCTGAAGGAAGTTTATACCCTTCAATGCTGTTACACATTTATAACATTTTCTTGTAAAAGTACTCATTGCATGCGTATCAAATTCAGGCACTATTCCAGTTTACAATAGGGAATAAGAGAGGCGAAGCTGCTGTCCTCATGGATCTGCCATTCCAGTGGGGAAAGGTGAGGAAGACAAATGGTATAAAAAGCAAATCAATAAATAATTTTATATGATAAAAAGTTAAGAGGAAAATAAAATAGGTGAGTTGATGGGAGGTGACTTCAGAATACATAGTAAGTGAAGGACCCTTAGCCAGGACTTGAGTGACCTGGAGGGACAGCCGGGCCTGGCAAAGGGATGGCAGTGTAAAGAGCCTGAAGTGGAATTACCTGGGTATCACCAAGGAATAGAAAAATGCCCATGTGGCCACTGCATAGTGAGCAGAGGGCTGGGTGGGGTAAGGAAGGTGTGCAGAGACCAGATGGTAAGGAGCTTGGGTTTTCTTTAAAAAAGACAACTAAGATTTATATATACAGCTATATCCATGGGAAGGAAAAAACAGACACCTGATGTACAGATCAAATTCAGAAGTGTGTCCTCATTCACACCATGTAGGAATCTCACCTTTACAAGCAGAGTTAGGAGCCTAGGGCTTTCTACATGCATCTTCTCAATTATAACAATCGCAGATGTAGATGTCATCGTCTCCATTTGAATGTCAAGGAAGCAGAGCCAGACAAGTCACACTGCTTGTAAATAGCAGAATCTGGCCTTAAATGCAAGTTGTGCTGAAGCACGTGTTCTTTCCAAACAAAGTTCCAGAGCCCATGTTCTTTCTATCAGAAGCTAAGGGACCACCCACCTGCATACTGGCATGATGAGGCTCTAGAAACTGACATGCAACCTCTTGGCCACCTAAACTTTGTAAAGGTGACTTGGGTTTCAGTATTTTACTTACCATTTATAATTTTGTGCCTCACCTATTTCCAAATATAAACGTGTGTGTGTGTGTGTGTGTGTGTGTATATATATATATATATATATATATCTCCTGTTATCCTATTTATGAACTAAAAATATTATAAGAAACTTGAAAAGTCAAGTGTGTGGAGTGTTACCGGCTGAAATGTGTCCCCACAAAATTCATGTGTTGAATTTCTAATCCCCAGTTGCTCAGAATGTGACTGTGTTTGGAGATAGGGTCTTTAAAGGGGTATTTAAGGTAAAACGAAGTCATATGGGTGGGTCCTGTTCCAATCTGACTGGTGTCCTTACAAAAAGAAGAGATGAGGATGCAGGAACATGTAGAGGGGTGGGCCTATAAAGACACACAGAGAATGGCCTCAGGAGAGTCCAGCTTCGCTGACACCTTGGTCTCAGAAATCCAGCTTCCAGGTTTGTGAGAAAATAAATTTCTGTTGTTGAAGCCACTAGTCTGAAGTACTTTGTTATGGGACCCTAGCAGACTAGTACTTGAATTGTTTATGTACACTAAATATGGTATAATACTAGAATATTTCTGTGGCCATATTTCAGGCGATTGATGTAGTTAAATTCCACAAAATCAAAACAAGATGTTTAACATGTATCTCTTGAATTATTAATAGTAACATTTTTTTTTTTCTTGAGACGGAGTCCCACCCTGTCACCCAGGCTGGAGTGCAGTGGCACAATCTTGGCTCACTGTAACCTCCACCTCCGGGGTTCAAGCAATTCTCCCACCTCAGCCTCCAGAGTAGCTGGGATTACAGGAGCGTGCCACCATGCCCGGGTAATTTTTTAACATCTCTACTAAAAATAGTAGAGATGGGGTTTCACCATGTTGGCCAGGCTGGTCTCAAACTCCTGGCCTCAAGTGATCTGCCCACCTTGGCCTCCCCAAGTGCTGGGATTACAAGCATGAGCCACCGTGCCTGGCCCATTTTGTACATTTTAAATTTTATCATGTGTTTACTTTCCAGCATATAGAACGGCAGAACATCAGATTAGTAAATAGCATTCATTACTGCAATCACTCTTCCAATGTACATACAATTGACTCTCTGAACAATGCGGATTTCAAGTACACAAGTCCACTTAGACACAGATTTGTTTTCAACCACACGTAGCTTGATAATGCAGTATTTGAGGGATGGAAAACTGAAGTATACAACCTTTTTTTATATGCAGGTTATATAGGGCTGACTTCTGAACTTGAGTATGCCTGGATTTTGGTATACTTGGGGGTCCCGAAACCAATCCCCCACACATACAGAGAGATGAATGTACTAAGCTCACGCTGTGAGCTAATTAACTTTTCTTTGCATTTCCATAGAAACCACCCCAACCCAGGCCATTATTGCTTCTCAACAGACCTCAGCTATGTCCTACTTACATTCTGTAGCCAAACTGCACTAGGTTTCATCATTAAATGGTCAAGCTACTGCATCTTCTTCCCATTTTCCTCTACTTTAAATACCTTCTCTTGGCTGGGCGCGGTGGCTCACGCCTGTAATCCCAGCACTTTGGGAGGCCGAGGTGGGCGGATCACGAGGTCAAGAGATCGAGACCATCCTGGCTAACACGATGAAACCCCATCTCTACTAAAAATACAAAAAAAAAAAAAAAAAAGAAAAAAAAAATTAGCCAGGCGCAATGGCGGGCGCCTGCAGTACCAACTACTCGGGAGGCTGAGGCAGGAGAATGGCGTGAACCCGGGAGGCGGAGCTTGCAGTGAGCCGAGATCACGCCACTGCACTCCAGCCTGGGCGACAGAGCGAGACTCCATCTCAAAAACAAAAAACAACAAAAAAAAAAACCTTCTCTTCTAGTCCTGCCAGAAATTAAGCCCCACTCTCCAAGCCCAACTCCAATGGTATCACGTCCAGCAACTATTTCCTAACCAACTGACCATAAGTGGCCTCTGCCTTTCTTAACTTCTATTTTACTTTGAATCGGTAATGGGCTTTCATTTTAATTATTAGCCTAAGCATCTTAGTTTTCATCCTAAATTACAAACTTCTCACAGAAAGGAAGTGTGGCTTGTGAGTTTTAAAATTACCTCCTGGTTGGGCGCAGTGGCTCAAGCCTGAAATCCCAGCATGTTGGGAGGCCGAGGCGGGAGGATCGCTTGAGCCCAGAAGTTTGAGACTAGTCTGGGCAATGCGGTGAAGTCCCATCTCTACAAAGAATGCAAAAAATTAGCCAGGGCATGGTGGCATGCACCTGTAGACTCAGCTACTCGGGAAGCTGAAGTGGAAGGATCATTTGAGTACAGGAGGTTGAGGTTGCAGGGAGGCATGATCACACCACTGCACTCCAGCCTGGTCCATAGAGTGAGACCCTGTCTAAAAAATAAATAAATATAAAATAAATAAAAAAAAATCACTTTCTGCTTTGTACATAGCTGGGATTCAGTCTGTACTTATTAAATAAATAAGTGTCATATTAAGAATTGCTTCTCCGTAATGCAAGTGACCTTCCACTTATTTTTGTATGGTAAATTTTAGTTGAGAATTCAGGTGGGTCACACTTTAACATGACTGCCCTGAGGCGGATCACATAGGGATTACATCATCTACCTTCATGAAACATAGGAGGGAAATTCAGATTATGGAGCTTATGTCCTGAACCTGCCAGGGGAGGTTGCTGGTGGTATTTATTGGTATTTTTCTTCATCCTTGAGACAAACAATGCAACCAAATTCTTTACAGAAAAGAGAGAAGGGAGAGTGTAAAAGTGGACATTGGATAACACCTAATTCAATAACAACATTCCGAAGAAGGAGTCAGACATTGCTGAGACTGTTACATAGCAGCATTAGCAGGTTACAGTTCTCACTCCAGGAAGGTAATTTACCCTAAGGCTGGCACTGATTTACAATAGATGAGGTGCGGGCACAGCTCTTCAGTGTTGACCAGCACCGGCACATGGGATTGCAGCAATAACCTGTGTAACACAGACAGCAATACCAAACCGTGCACTTGGAAGCCAGGGATGGGGAGAAATTGATGTGGAATGTGTAGCTTTAAACCTGCTACTATCTGCATGTGTGTGTACGTGTGTGTGCGTGTGTGTGTGTGCATGCATACATGTATGTGTGTCAAAAATAGCAAGAAACCACTAAAAGGCCTCAGTTCCACTTTTGGAGAAAAGCCATTCTTTAAAAGGACTTTAATTGGGAAAGTAATATCTGCTGCGGGTGACACAGGAAAGGCATCTGTGGAGTCACGTGACACATAAAGAGGAAAAGGCCCACACCTCTCAAAAATCACTGCAAAGAATCCCGAGCAATGGAGTGGACAGCACCAGTGTGGTGGAACTCTTGGAAGACGCTTTCAACTTGTCACATGTAAAACTGCATTAAAATGTCTTTCATATGTCCATGAGCACTGCATTGTTGAAGGCAAATGACTGTGATGCTTTAAGGATGCCCAATTTGAAGAATCCATTGCTTCCTAAAGAACTCTGGGGAGCATAGCTCAAAGTAGCCTAAAAAATCGCATTCTTCTCTTTCTTCACATACAGACCTTTAAAAAATTGGAAAGGTCAAATTTGCTTCTGTATATAATCTAATAGGTATGCAATATTTTTGGAGAAAAGAAAATATTTTAAAAGAAAATTTTCTTTTAAAACAAATTTATAAAATAACTCATCTTTTATTATTTTATTTATAAATATATACAAAAATATATAAATATTTTTATATATTTATAACTATTTATTATTCATTTTATTAGAGAATATACAAAAACATGTGATATGGTTCTGCTCTGTGTCCCCACCCAAATCTCACCTTGAATTGTAATAATCCCCATGTGTTATGGGAGAAACCCAGTGGGAGGTAATTGAATCATGGGGGCGGTTTCCCCTATACTGTTCTCATGGTGGTGAATAAGTCTTACAAGATCTCATGGTTTTATAAGGGGTTACCCCTTTCGCTAGGCTCTGATTCTTTCTTGTCTGCTGCCGTGTAAGGCGTGCCTTTCACCTTCCACCATGATTGTGAGGCCTCCCCAGCCACATGGAACTATGAGTCTATTAAACCTCTTTTTTCTTATAAACTACCCAGTCTCAGGTATGTCTTTATCAGCAGTGTGAAAACGGACTAATACAACGTGCTTTGGATTAACATACAGAAACAAGTCAACATTTATTAGAATCTCCTTTGCACAAATATATTTGCAATGGGCCGAATATCTGTGCCTCCCCAAAGTTCATTGTTGATATCCTAACCCCCAATGTGATGTTATTCAGAGATGGAGCCTTTGGGAGGTGATTAATTCATGGAAGCCCTCAGGAATGGGATTAGTACCCTGATAGAATTGACTCCAGAGAGTGCTCTTGTTTCCTTTCCACTGTGAGAAAATACAGGGAGGAGATGACCATCTACGAACCAGGAAGCAGGCCCTAACCAGATGCCGAACCTTCTGCTGCTTTAATGTTAGACTTTCAGCCTCCAGTACTGTGGGGGGAGAATGTTGGTTTTTGAGAAGCACACAGGTGTGACATTCTGTTATAGTAGCCCAAGTGAACTGAGACAATATTCATTCTAAACAAAGCTGAATTATGGCCTATTTTATTCATTTGATTTTTTATATCCATTTAAAATATACCATTTAGTCTTCTAATTCATAAAGTCTAAATGCACAGAAAGATAACTTCCAAGTCAACTCGATGATTCTGCACTAAAAGCTTTTTAGAAGTAGAGACCAATACAAATAAAATGGAAATAAATTTAGATGTGGGCAAAACAATTTGCATTGAGCCACAAACATAAACTATCTTTGGTGAGATTTAAAGCTATGAACCTGCACCACACTGATGAGCAAATCTGTGAGAAATCTCATTTGAGGACCTCCTCAGTTGATTGTCTATTATCCTCCAGGAGCTGTGATAACACTAATAAGAAAATACTCCCTTGTAGAGAGCTTCAGGAGCTGTAAGAGAAATTATTCAATCCATCCTTGTACCCTTCCTTGAGCTCACTGTGGAATTACTCTGATGGAAAACTGCCTTTGTGGTCCCACCATGGAAAAGGTGCTCCTGAAGTTTCCTAAAATAAGGGCAGGAAGGCCTCACTGGCCAATACACTTATCAGGAGAATAGCAGTACAGACTTTTAACAAAAAATAGAGAGTACTTTCAATAAATAAAGCATAAAAGTAAGGCTTTCGTATGCTGCCTAAATCCTAATCTTGTACATATCTTTCAGTTACCACAGTATGGCTTCCCGCCAACCTCTGGGATGTGGCATGTAATGGGACTCCCAGGATGAAAAGACTCGGTGTCCTGTCGTTCATTCATTCATTTATTCATTCATTCAGTCATTTAATATGTATGTATCTGTCTATGCTATGCCAAGAAAAGCCATGGGCATTGGGATAGAGCAGTGAGGAAACCAACACATCTGCCTCCTCAGAGAATTTACAGTCCAGAAGGGTAGAGACAGACCCACATAAAATGGTAGACTACTAGTTTCTTTCCTTTCCACATACTCCCATCATCATTTTCCATTGAGATGGTATTTTTTCCCTAATGCTGATATGCAATTATCTCATCTAAAAGAAATCATCTGGCCGGACACAGTGGCTCATGCCTGTAATCCCAGCACTTTGGGAGGCCGAGGTGGGCAGATCACCTGAGGTCAGGAGTTCCAGGCCAGCCTGACCAACATGGAGAAACCCTGTCTCTACCAAAAATACAAAATTAGCCAGGCATGGTGGTGGGCACCTGTAATCCCAGCTACTTGGGAGGCTGAGGCAGGAGAATTGCTTGAACCTGGGAGGCGGAGGTTGTGGTGAGCTGAGATCGTGCCATTGTACTCCAGCCTGGGCAACAAGAGCGAAACTCAGTCTCAAAACAAAACAAAGAAAGAAGGAAGGAAGGAAGGAAAGAAAGAAAAAAAGGAAGGAAGGAAGGAAGAAAGAAAGAGGGAGAAAGAAAGGAAGAAAGGAAGAAAGAGAAAGAAAGAAATCATCCACATATAAACTTCAGACATGCAGGTACCATAGTCACGGGCTCCCAGTCCTTGCTACCTATAATGAGGTCCACGAACCAGCAGCATCAGCAGCACACGGGAGCTTTTTAGAAACAGTCTTGAGCCCACCTGGACCTAATCAATCAGAATCTTCAGTTTAACGAGACACCCAGGAGACTTGAAGGGACACTGAATTTTGAGAAGTAGTGCACTTAGATGTTTTCTCAAAAGGTGCTGCAGGGGACATGGCATCTTCATGCTAAGTGAAAAAGCCAGACCTTTGGTCAAATAGAGTGAGAAACTGCTGGTTAAGGCAAGTCAGTGACTTCTTCACCTTGGGATTCGTCAGAGTTCCTTATGTCTATTTTAAATACCCAAGAGAAAGAAACCAATACTAATCATAATAATGGTCGTAATCACTAATATTTATAGTTTAGTTACTATAGGCTACCACTAAAATTGCTTAAATATGATATGGATATGGAATCCTGTTTAATCATCAGTCAGTCCCCAAAATTTGGTGTTATTATTCTTATTTTTCATATTACGAATCTGAAACTCAGAGAGGCTAAGTTACTTTCCCAGGATGACACAGTTTGCAAACTTGCCAACTGGGAACCCAGCCCTGCCTGATTCCAAAGCCCAAGGGCTCGATTTGAAACGTATGGCAATTTTCTAAATACATTGAATCATTGAACATGGACACAGCTTTTTTCTATTTTGCAAAGACCACCTAGGACTAGTCCATGAAATACAGGCTGGGAAAGTATTTCACAGAAACACATTTGCCACCATGTGGCAGGTCCCTACTCAGGGGCAGAAACACCCTCAAAAGTGATGTCAATCTTAAATGTGCGGGCTTGCATACTAGCCACTCAGAAGAGCACAAAACAATTTAAGGTTTTTTCCCAGACCTGAGATATCAATTACATCTTGCCGAATGATGTGTCCTAACTGGCATGCCACTATCAGATTTAAGATAAAAATCACATGTGGCCTAGTCTAGACACACTGGACTTCTGTAATCTCTTCTCATTGTCACTAAACAGCTGGTACAAATGAATCTACCACTTCCTCATATCAGGCCCCTGACTTAATGTCTCACCCCATTTCTCAAGAAAAGATGCACGTCCCTCATAATGTCAAAACGATTGGGTTATCTTGCATTGTTTACAATTGAACAGTGGTTCATCTTAGCAGTCATGGTTTATTTATACTCACTTTTATTCATCCATTCCACTCATATATATTGAGTTCCTACTTTGTGCTAAGAAGCAGTTCGGTGTAATACCAGGCCCTTCACTTTTACAATCATGAAGTCAATTAATTATAAGCTCAACCCATAATTAATATACTCTTAGTAAAGGCAACCATTATAAGTACATTCTGATACAACATTCTATCCATGTATAAACTTAAGAGAGTATAAGGATCAGAATTCGAGGTCAGACCCACAAAATACAGGGAAAAAATGACACTATGACATTAATCTTCTCCACTCCTCCCCCAATTGTATACTGAGGAAATGAGTTCAAATAATCATTAATAGCAAACCTGAAGTAGTAAAAGAGACCACAGAAAAACAGACACTATGATAGATAAAGAGGATTGAAGGCATCTGCTGGGTGTCAAAGTTTGCCCCAGGTTAAGGATGTTTCTCTGACCTACAAAAAGCTTGGACTGTCTGTGGAACATCCAAGCAAATCAACACCAGAATAAAACATGCTGTCCACTTTCCTCGCCCTCTTCCAAGAATTACTTCATTATTCCCAATAAACTAAATGCATTTAGTTCTGAAATGAATGCATGTTATTCAATAAGAAAACATTATGACTCAAGTAGACCTACACTTCTTTTCTGAAACTAGATTTCTGTGCTCTGAATAAAAATGAACAATTCATCAGCACACATTTCTTCTTAATCTAAAAGGACAACATTATGCAAATTCAGGCCATGGGGGTGTGACCCTGTCTATCCTTACTTGTTTTGTTTGTAAGTAAATTTGGTTCCCCTTTGTGTTAAAGTGTAACTTTTTTTTAATGAGAAAAATAACTTTTGTTTTATACCTTCACTAGAGGAAGTACTGTATCTCAGCCATCCCAGTCACAATGGGAACATAAGCATGGCCTCCTCAGTAGAAACTCATTCATCTCTTATCCATATAGGTCCCTTTCTTCCATCTGCTTTTTATTTGGAAGCACTCATTCTTATCTCCAACTTCCCCGGCCTCAAGGTAGTAATGTTAGGTAACTTGCAGTGATAGCTACTTTTGACCACTTTCTCCAAGTTCCAGCATCCTGTAAATTCATCCATTTAGGCCCACACAATATGTCTACCTCCCTAGAGAATGTTCCATGTGAACTTCTTTTAAAATATCATACTCTCTTTTCTGTAAAAGCATATGGAAGGGATTCTGTGACGATTTAAAACTAAAGCCACAATGCAACTTCTAACTTAAACCAGATTATTGCAAGGACAGCAATAATCAATCACAAAGATTAATTTAACAGTTGACCTTTTTATACTGTTTTATGGATTTCAGCAACCATATAGCACCACAATTTAGAGGTAGCCTTAAAAGAACTGTTTTCTGCTTAGCAATCAGAATCTAATTTTAGAATTCCTACTAGAAAAAAATATGAGTATTTTTATCTCATTGCCTGGCGCATAGTCGGTATTCATTATGCTTGGAAAAAAGTATTACTAGGGGTCTGTGAAAAGCATTTTGCTACAAACGCTTCATCTTATCCTTTGGGAGAATCAGAATATTGCATACTCACCTGTTGGAAGGGTGCCGATAGAGCAGAGTTTGATAACACCAAGAAGACAGAGAATGAAACCAGGGAAACATTAAGACCTTCAGGACGACGAGGAAAGATAGCTGATAGCCGGAAGAAGACAATCAAGATTAAAAAAAAAAAAAATCACACTTTCAGAGAATAACTTAAATTTTAATCTTTTGGCTCCAAAGAAAAAGTGACGGCCATGGAATAATTTTCTGATTTGGCCAGTAAATCAGGCTTAACACCTGCTCTAGAACCTAAGCATGCTGGATATGACAATGAGACATTTCTGTAGCTGAGCAGCTTTGTAAATAATTGGGACAAAATTCTATAATCATAGCAGCTGCTTCATTATGTCCTGATAAGCTGCCTAGGTAATTAAAATGTCACACATGATGCAAGGAGTAGATTGATTTTTTTTTTTTTTTTTTTTGAGATGGAGTCTTGCACTGTTGCCCAGGCTGGAGTGCAGTGGCACCATGTTGGCTCACTGCAAGCTCCGCCTCCCGGGTTCACGCCATTCTCCTGCCTCAGCCTCCCCAGTAGCTGGGACTACAGGTGCCCACCACCCCGCCCAGCTAATTTTTTGTACTTTTAGTAGAGACGGGGTTTCACCGTGTTAGCCAGGATGGTCTCGATCTCCTGACCTCGTGATCCGCCTGCCTCGGCCTCCCAAAGTGCTGGGATTACAGGCGTGAGCCACCGTGCCCGGCCTCTGCTGTATTTCTTAAAGTTAGATGTTCATTCTCAGCCTCACAGGACAGAATTCTACCGTTAGGAGTCATGAAATCAGTGGTGGGAAGCTTGACCACACAAAGTCTATATGGCTCTGATTGGTGGCTTTGCCAATTTAGCGGAAATAGGTCTTGTTTGTATTTCCTAACTAGGGCTGAGTCTTCTCTTTGAGGCTCAGTACAGAAACGGATGATTTCTTATCCTTTCTAATATCAGAGGTTCACAAGCCACTATCTGGAGCTCACAGGAGCCATACACCTTTTGGTTAAATAGCCCCCTAGGATGCAAACGTTTTTCTTTCTTTCTTTTTTTTTTTTTTTTTTTTAGATGGAGTCTCGCTCTGTCTCCCAGGCTGGAGTGCAGTGGCGCAATCTCGGCTCACTGCAACCTCCACCTCCCGGGTTCAAGCAATTCTCCTACCTCAGCCCCTCGAGTAGCTGGGATTACAGGTGTGCTCCGTCACACCCAGCTAATTTTTGTATTTTTAGTAGAGACGGGGTTTCGCCGTGTTGGCCAGGCAAACGTTTATCTTTCTCAAGCTTCTCGTAGTTAGCTTTTTCTTACTGGCCCTGATTAGAGTTTACTTTATCTTACCCTTAATAGAACCTATACTAGTTCTGACAGCTCGTTTTGCCCTCTGCAATGAAATTGCTTTGAGAATTCACCATCCTTCATGGGCTTGAAATTTAAAGAACACTCTATGGGATGAAGTTGTATAAATGATTGGTTGATTGACTTGTGGAGGGAGTAATTGTGTGTTATGAGGGTGTGTGTGCACATGTGTATGTGAGTGTGCATGCAAGCCTGAGAATGTTGTCTCTAGTGTAACACAGCATCACAGATGTTTGGGATGCTATAGCATACAGCACAAAAAATAAATAAGAATTTGTAACATGTTCTAGGAAGCACATAACAAGTAAATAGTAAGTATTCCACTCAGATTTGTTATTCCACCCAGAATGCACAGTTGATGCTTCATAAAACAGGGAAAAGGTCTTCATAGAAAAATACATTCAATCGGCCAGGTGCAGTGGCTCATGCCTGTAATCCCAGCACTTTGGGAAGCTGAGGTGGGTGGTTCACCTGAGGTCAGGAGTTTAAGACCACCCTGGCCAACATGGTAAAACCCCATCTCTACTAAAAATAAAAATAAAAAAAATTAGCCGGGCAAGGTGGCACCTGCCTGTAATCTCAGCTACTCAGGAGGCTAAGGCAGGAGAATCGCTTGAACCCAGGAGGCAGAGGTACTCCAGACTGGGCAACAAAGCGAGACTTCATCTCAAAAAAAAAAAAAGAAAAGAAAAAGAAATATGCTTAGTACTGACTGGCTGCTGAAGCAAAAGCCTCTCCAAGCCATCACGTGGACACGGCTGGATGGCAGGTTGTGTTTATGTCTATCTTCCAAGAAGCTCTAATAAAGCGTGCAACACTGACAATATCCGCTTACGTTGGCTTAGTATTGCTATTTATATTGTAAATAGAATAATGAAATTTTAAGGCCAGGCGCAGTGGTTCACGCCTGTAATCCCAGCACTTTGGGAGGCTGAGGCGGGCGGATCACGAGGTCAGGAGATCGAGACCATCCTGGCTAACACGGTGAAACCCCGTCTGTACTAAAAATACAAAAAAATTAGCCGGGCGTGCTGGCGGGCGCCTGTAGTCCCAGCTACTCGGGAGGCTGAGGCGGGAATGGCGTGAACCCAGGAGGTGGAGCTTGCAGTGAGCCGAGATTGCGCCACTGCACTCCAGCCTGGGCGACAGAGAGAGACACCGTCTCAAAAAAACAAAAAGAATAATGAAATTTTAAAAGATGTCATTATAGTTCTTGGAGTCGAGACACAGTAAAATGCTTTCTTGCCCTATTCCTAAGAGGCTTCATAATTGTTGGAGCTATAAATCAAAGTGACTCTCCTCACATTGTCTTCATCCCAACCTTAGGGACTCAGGCCGTGAAGCTCAGCACTGCAGTCCATTTCCCCACAGCTCACTGAATGTAGATTGACTTGGGGAGTGCTGCTTCCTCACGATTTCAGGACTAGAGATGGTGTCTTAGTTGGTCTGGGCTGCCATAGTGAAAGACCACAGACTCTGGATCTTAGCAACAGAAATTTGCTTCTCACAGTTCTGGAGGCTAGAAGTTAGAGATCATGGTGTTTGGAGGTAGGTTTTTTCCTGAGGTTTATATATGGTCGTCTTCCTCCGCACGTCTTCACATGGCCATCCCTCTTTGTGTCCCGGTGTCCTAATCTCTTCTTCTTCTTCTTTTTTTTTTTTTTTTTTTTTGAGACAGAGTCTCACTGTTGCCCGGGCTGGAGTGCAGTGGCGCCATCTTGGCTCACTGCAACCTCAACTTCCTGGGTTCAAGCAATTCTCCTGCCTCAGCCTCCTGAGTACGTGGGACTATAGGCATGCGCCACCACGCCTGGCTAATTTTTTGTATTTTTAGTAGAGATGGGGTTTCACCATGTTGGCCAGGCTGATCTTGAACTCCTAACCTCAGGTGATCCACCTGCCTCGGAATTACAGGCATGAGCCACCGTGCCCGGCCATCTCCTCTTCTTAAATACCAGTCTTACATGGAATTAGGGGCCACCCCAATATCCCCATTTTAACTTAGACACCTCTTTAAAGATCCTATCTCCAAATACAGTGACATTAGGAGTTTACAGCTTCAGCATATGAATTCTGGAGGAACA
This sequence comes from Homo sapiens, assembly GCF_000001405.40. NCBI lineage: Eukaryota > Metazoa > Chordata > Mammalia > Primates > Hominidae > Homo > Homo sapiens. The sequence continues at coordinate 932,226 of NW_025791814.1, forward strand.
TGATTCAGTCCATAAAAGAGAGATAAACGGATATGTGACTGAGAATGAGGAAAGACAGAATTCTGCCATCAGGAATCACAAAGTCAGGGGTCTTCAGATGTCACTGGGATAAAGAGAATGGGGCAGTATGGAAGCCTATGATACCTGGAGAGGAGGGGACCCACATAGGGCCAGAATAAAGAAATAAAACTCCTTCTGGCCAAGCAAGACATCTGTGGGCTGAGACCATCCGTTTTCTACCCCTGCTGTAGAGTTTCTGACAGCTCTGAATGTTAATTGAAAGCTGCCTGGACTGGCATTTGTGGCCCAGCTGGTGTTTTCTTATTTTGTGTTTGCTTTTTGATGGATGATGAGTGTTCAGTTTGTTATGAGATTCTGGGGAGGAGGGGAGCTGATTCTCAGGCCATATTTAGTTCTTAGATGTATATTTAGGTCCAAAAGGTAAAATACATAGGCCACATAATTTCCTGAGACATTTGCTTTTTTTCTATACATAATAGAAAGAACTCATTTCTGCAGACTGAACTAAAACATAAGGTGATAGATGTTTGCACGTAGTTAAGAAATCAGGCAAATTGTTCATGTGCCAGATAAAATGTTATTGAACTCTTAGTCCTTCAGCTGCTGGGACAGATGGGCAGTAGGTTTCATACCACGTGCCAAGAAGTGGCTGGCTGGAGGCCTGTGATGGGAGGGATTCTGAGGTTTAGACTGGACATACAAAAGATCATGATCTCATTAATTGGCCATATCTGCCAAGAATGCGGAGAGAGGGTTTGCAGCATTAGAACATGATGGCACAGGAATCAAAGCAACTTTCCAGGATACTCTTGTCTTGGGTAAGGTCCATTGTGACTTCAGATACATAAATCCCTTGCTTTTTAGGTACAAAAAATATGAAATTGTTCTGGTGTTTTATTTTATTATTATTATTTTTTGAGACGGGGTCTCACTCTGTCCCCAGGCTAGAGTGCAGTGGTGTGATCTCGGCTCACTGAAGCCTCTGCCTCTTGGGTTCCAATGATTCTTCTGCCTCAGCCTCCCGGGTAGCTGGGACTACAGACGCACGCCACCATGGCTGGCTAATTTTCGTATTTTTAGTAGAGACGGGGTTCCACCATGTTGACCCCGCTGGTCTCAATCTCCTGACCTCAGGTGATTCACCTGCCTCGGCCTCCCAAAGTGCTGGGATTACAGGCATGAGCCACGATGCCTGGACTGTTCTACCATTTTTTATAGGCCCAACAAACTCAAAGAGAGAATGAAGCATTTTGTCTGGCTTAGACAAAAAATCATGTGAAATATAAGAAGCACAAAAACCTACTCTACGGTTTTAATATGAAATCCAGAGAGACAAATGCTTATTAGTTTTGTTGTTTGTGGGGTTGGTGGTTAGTATTTTGCGTTTCTGATTTTTTAAAAAATTTTCTCTATAATAAGCTTACTGATTTTTCCTCTTAAAAAGCAATGTTCTGTGGGAAAAGGCCAACCTTCCTTGGCACTGCCTTCTTTTTCTAGAGATTATTAATTTCTTTTTAATAGAGCTCATACTGCAAAATCAAATTTTTATATCGCAAAGGGATTTACATTTATCTTGAGCTGCACACTCTTCGTCTATCAAATTGAGTTTAAGTTTCTAATTGAAACAATTTTTCAAGTGTTAAGCAATAAAGAAGCAATAAGTGATATATTTAAATTATTTATTCATCTTATTTATAATTAATTCATTTTTTTCCTTGCTGCACAGTGAGGCTAACCTGATGCATTTGATTTTTCAAATCTTTTCTATCATTTGGCAACAATAGAAGTGGCTGCTTTTTCCATCCCACTTGTGTTTCATTGGTCTTTGGGGACTCAGGCAACATCAGTTTAAATCACAGTTAAACTTAACACAGCAACTTTGTTTTGCGATATACTGCACCAAAAACAAGTGTGTTATGAGTAAAGCACGCCTGTTCTTAGTCAAATTGGAAAAAAAAAAAAAAAAGTACCTCTTAGTAAAGTGAACCATTGCATCAACAAGGATCTCAACCTTCAGCATTTAATGACTACTTATCCCTTGGTCTATACTCCTTCTACACAATAAGATTGATAGGCCTTTAACATGCACTGTGTCATGGATCATCAACTAGTTGACCTGGATAGCTGGTCTGCAAATTATTTGAACCCCTTTTTCCAATATCTCTGTCTTGTTATACTATTCACAACACAATCTCTCGGCTCCAGTTGAATGCATTACCTCCTCCATCACATAAACTTATTGCCTGTCCAAAATTGCCTGGACTGATAATCTTCAGGCCTGTTCTTAGTCAAATTGAAAAAAAAAAAGTACCTCTTAGTAAAGTGAACAATTGCATCAACAAGGATCTCAACCTTCAGCATTTAATGACTACGTATCCCTTGGTCTATACTCCTTCTACACAATAAGATTGATAGGCCTTTAACATGCACTGTGTCATGGATCATCAGCTAGTTGACCTGGATAGCTGGTCTGCAAATTATTTGAACCCCTTTTTCCAACATCTGTGTCTTGTTATACTATTCACAACGCAAACTCTCGGCCCCAGTTGAATGCACTACCTCCTCCATCACATAAACTTATTGCCTGTCCACAATTGCCTGGACTGATAATCTTCAGAGCTATGCAGCCACTGGATATTTTCCTCTCACACAAACACATCTATCCCATTCACTACACCATGCTCTGGCTCACAGCCCTATAATCTCACTCCACCAAGTGCCCAATGGCAGAGGCTCCAACAACTTACATATACTACCCACAATTTTTTTTTTTTCGAAATCCAAGGTCATATTCCTGGACTGTTCACAAGCTATAGTGATTCCCCTTGGCTAACTAAATATGCTCAAGCTCCCCAGACTCCTATTTATTTAGGCTGGATTTCACCTTTGCACCCTCATCCAGCACTGCCTGGCAATTAGATAACAGTGAATGAGGGCGTCTATGAAGAGTGTACTCACAAACTTTCATTAAATAGTAACCACACTTTATATGAATCTTTGCTCCTCACACAACAGCTGACTTTCACTGGATGCTCAGTACACATCTGTAGAACAAACGACCCAAGAACAGGCCATAAAACAAATTCAGAGAATAATCAGGGGAAATCTAGTGATCTGAAACTCAAGTCAAAAACTCAGAAAATATGATGGCCAGGAAGAAGTCAATCGTTGTCTAAAATTATTTGGAAATAACTGATTGTGTAGTAATCCAGTTTTCTTTAACTGCAGATGCCTCAGATGATCTGATTGTTTGGTATTTAGTGGGCCTCAGTATGTTTCATGTATCATGAAAGGCAGGGAGAGGGACTTTTCTCAACCTCAAGGGTACAGCAACTGTGCAGTGAGGACTAGGGTGAAGTATGAGAACAAAAACAAAAGCAATTATAATTACAGGCATTTATTGAGCTTCTCCTAAGTGTCATGTAGGTACAATGTACTATCCATTTTAGCTTATTCAATCCTCAAAACAATCCTGTGAAAATAACAAGAGTACATAGCTACTAAGTCACAATGGAAAAGTGTGTTCTTGTCCCAACTCTTCACTCCCTTTCCTGCAGGAGGCCATATGTCTATACACGCTGTGTGCAGAAGGAGTCTACTTCCCTGCTTCATTGACATCAGGCTTGGCCATGTTCCTGACTCAGGCCAATAGCATGTGAGTGGACATGACATCGGCAAATCCGAGCAGAAGTTTTAGTCATTGTAGGTTCCCAAAAGATGAGGGTAAAATGGCATGTCCCAGAGAAGGCTGTCTTTAAAGTGGTTCCCAGAATTTGCACACTTGTGGCCAACAGTCAGTCCAACACGTAATGTGAGCACAAAATAAATCTTTGTTGTCATTGATCACAGAGACTATAGGGGTGACTGGCACTACACAAAGCTTAGCAAAAGTAGTGGTAGAATTCACACCCAGAGCCTGCACTTTTATCCATGTTACTATGCTGCCTCACTAAGCATACATGCACTATTATGAGACAAGGTTCTAAATCTATGTAGGCAGGTTCTGCTGTCTCTGTCTTGCAAGTTGGAATCAGTCAGCTACTCAAAGTATGGTCCATGGACCAGAAACAGTATGAGTAATACTTGACAGCTGGTTAGAAATGCAGAATCTCAGCTCCCACCCAAGAATCTGCATTTTAATAAAATTCCCAGGAATGAATGTCACAATAAAATATGATAAGTGCTGATTTAACACATGGTCATGGACGCATATGCTTCATGAATAATCAAGATCAAAGAGCTATGAATTAGAAATGAAAAAAAGCATCCACTTCCAATTCTATTTTCCAGATTGGAAAGACAAGAGTATCCACTTATTTTCCTTGTCTCTTGGAGATCAGAGGGGTAGAAACAATGTGTTGTAACTACAATGGTTTACTGTAAAACATTCTAGGACTTGCTCTAGTCACTAAATATCACCCTTTGATAGAGCAGCTTACACCTCATTGCTAGTCACGCTGACCTCTTGTTCACAATCCAATAGCATGTTCATTGAACAAATAAACATTAGGGCCTATTTGTCTTCATTAAGGACTGTATGCTTGTAGGGGAAAAAATGACACATTGTGCTTATCTTGACTTCCCTGTTCCAAGATCCCATTATTGTCTTATCACCCTTTTGATGAGTGACATTGACCATTAACCATATCAGTAAACATCACAGCTTCCTAAACACAAGTTCTCATCATAATTAAGGGAGGAATATAACACTTATGGATGCTGCTTAGCCGGTAATTCAATGTCATGGTCTCTTCTCCACACTGTTGCGAAACCCAGTAGCAGTGAACCAGAACATCCAAGAAGTAATGGAAATGAATAATGATATTTCAAGATGGTGGATGATGTAGGTGGAACAACCACTTGTGCATTTGAGACACATTCTCCCCAGTGAACACTAAGGTTTTTGACAGGCTGGTTTATGAATAAATTCATGACATGAGACATTTCCAAAATGTCTGTTAAGAACTGCTTCAAAATGAAGTCATCAAAATTACTGCAAAATGTACATTTTAAATGCAAACAGCCAGGGGAAAGAGTGTACTTGTTATGTAGAATTCATTATCTTTATTTCGGAGTGCAGCCCTATAAACATTTGTTTGGGATTGCTTTTATGCAATTGTTTGGAACATAAGCAGAGAAAGAGCTGAATGGAGACATTCCAGAAACCCAGAGCTTATTCAGCTTCTTTTTTCTCTACCTTGATAGAAAGAAATCATTTTTTTCTTCAAATTTAATACAGTTGTAAGGATCTGGTGTTTTCTAATTTATCAGTTTATGTTGTTAATAGTGGGGACATTACCAAAATATGAAAAATGGAAACCATGTACTAAGAATTTTATCTTGTCATCTGGGACAAAAAAAAAAAGATCCTTCATTAGATGCACATTACTTTTTTTAGGTATTTAACTCACAATGTAAGTATGTGCATATTTACAGAAGATAGTAATACTATCCTTATGTTTGTAATTGAATTCAGCCTGGAGCCGCTTTAAGATGAATCAGACTATCAAGTTAGCCAGCAGATTTAGGGTCAAAAATATACTAAGTGGGAAAAAATGTTCTTAATACAGAATAAGCTAAGTGGTTAGTTAAGGACTAAAAACACCACTGCTCCACCACGAAGAAGGAAATATGCATTTGATCTAAAAGAAGAAAAGAGTTAAAATCCAGTATACCATCAAGACAAAAGAAAACCTATCTGTAAAAAAAAAGAGAATACAAATCATCACAGACACACCCTAAATGAAAATGCCAAGTAGTTTCGATTGCATGAAATTTATTAATGCTTATATATCAATAAAGCTCACCATAAACAAAATTAAAAGGCAAATAATGACCTTTGAAGATTATACATACCTTTTAAAAATTAATAAGCCTAGCATTTATAAAAGCTTGCAAACCTATTTTTCAAATAACACACCAAAAAAGAAATGAGCAAAGCACATGAATTGGCAATAATAATATTTCAGGAATGACCTGAATCTACAGTAGAGGATCAGCTAATAGTAGCAGATACATACGATAAACTAGGATGTTGTCATTATAAGTGTAATATGGAAGAACGTCTACTGATGTGAAGAAAATGTTCATGAAGCAGTAAAAAAAGAATAAAACAATCACCTAATTGTAAATGTTTAATAAAAGACATACCAGACTGTTAGCAGTATCTCTCTACATTGTAGAACTACAAGAGTTGCTTTTTTGTGTGTTTCAAGTGTTTTACAAACTTCACCCATTCAGTATATATTGCTCTTCAATTAAAAATAAAATAAAGGTCATACAAAATTAAAGAGATTAAAATTAGAACAATTTAGATAAACAAATTTACCATAAAAACAGGAAAATTCCATTCCCAATGCTATAAAACTATAGCCTAAGCCATTAAAATGTTTTACTTCTAAAATTAAGCTACTGACTTTTGGAAAAATGTTATTACCCTATAAAGACATTTTTAGATATCCACAGTTAAGTTTGTAGGCAAAGGATGGTATTGAGGTGTGTAAAGAGAAAGCTTGGACCAAAAAGAAAATTTTATTTTTTTAATTGAGAGCCTGTGTTTGTAAGTAACATCAGTGATTCCCTTACCAAAATACCTGTTTTACTCTGGGAGTGAAATGAGTTAAAAGAACTAGATTGCTGGGGCTTTGGGGTAGGTGATGCTTCCTCTCTAATTTGAATCTATATTGCCAATAGGTAAATTGAGAGCTAACACATTAACTCAAATTTATTGCTGACATTACCTTCCCTATGCAGGAAAATCAATAATGAATATACATTGGAATAGCTGATTGGTGAAACTCAGAGAAAAAAAACTCAAAGTAAATTATTCTACAGTATTAGATTCTTATTGCCACTATAACAAATTACCCCAAGTTTGGTGGCTTTAAACAATGCAGATTTATTCTCTTACAATTCTGGAGGACAGAAGTCCAAGTTCAATTTCACAGAACTAAACTCAAGATATAAACTGGGCTGCACTCCCTTTGAAGGAACATGGGGAATATCTGATTTCCCTTTTTCAGCTTGTAAAGCTTTTCCACCTCATAAAGTCTTTTTCAGCTTGTAAAGACCTCTTGAATTCCTTGGCTTATGAGAGACACATCATTCCAACCTCTTATTCCATCATCACATCTTTTACTATCCTTCTGATCTCCTGCCTTTCTCTTTTAAAGATTCTTGTGATTACATTAGGCTTAATAGTTAATCCAAAATAATCTTCTAATCTCAAGAGCCTAAATTTAAATACATCTGCAAAATTCCTTTAGCCATATAAGGTAGCATTTACAGGTTTTGGAGACAGTACACTGCTTTGGTTTGAATGTTTGTCCCCTCTGAAACTCATGTTGAAACTTAATCCCCAATGTGGCAATATTGAAATGTGGACTTTTAAGAGGTAATCCATTTATTGATTAATAGATTAACGAGTCAGTGGATTAATAGATTATCACAGGAGTGACATTAGTGGCTTTATAAGAGGAAAAACGGAGACTTGAACAATAACTAAGCATCCTCACCATATGATTCCCTGCACCACCTCAGGACTTTACAGAGTCCCTCACTAGCAAAAGGACCTTTCAACAAAATGCAGCCCCTTGACCTTGGACTTCTCAACCTCCATAACTGTAAGAAATAAATTACTTTTCTTTATAAATTACCCAGTTTCAGGCATTCTGTTATAAGCAATACGAACTAAGACAGAAAATTGGTACCAGGAGTGGGGTGTTGATGATAGTGAACACCTGAAAATGTGGAAGTGGCTTTGGAACTGGGTAATGGGCAGAGGATGGAAGCTGAGGGAGCAGGCTAGAAAAAGCCTGGATTCTGGTGAGGGCTTAGAAGGCAAGAAAACTAAGGGAAGTTTGTAACTCCTTAGGAATTGGTTAAATGGTGGTGACCAGAATGCTAATAGAGATATGGCCAGTAAAGGCCATTCTGATGAGATCTCAGATAGAACTGAAAAACAAGGTATTGAAATTTTGAGTAAAGGCCATTCTTCCTATAAATTGGCAAATAATTTGGTTGAAGCGTGTCCCTGCCCAAGGGCTTTATGGAAGGCCAAACTTAAGAATGATGAACTAGGATATCTGACACAAGGCATTTCTTCTTTCTTCTTTCTTACTTTCTTTTTTTTTTTTTTTTTTTAAACGGAGTCTCACTCTGTTGCCTAGGCTGGAGTACAGTGGCACAATCTCGGCTCACTGCAACCTCTGCCTCCCAGATTCAAGTGATTCTCCTGCCTCAGCCTCCTGAGTAGCTTGGATTACAGGCACACACCACCACGCCCAACTAATTTTTGTATTTTTAATGGAGACGGGGTTTCACTATGTTGGTCAGGCTGGTCTCAAACTCCTCTTTCTTTCTTTCTTCTCCTTTTTTTTTTTTAGATGGAGTTTCTTTCACCCAGGCTGGAGTGCAGTGGCTTGATCTTGGCTCACTGCAACCTCCGCCTTCAGATTTCAAGTGATTCTCCTGCCTCAGCCTCCCAAGTAGCTGGGATTACAGGTGCCCACCCCTACACCTGGATAATTTTTTGTGTCTTTAGTAGAGACAGGGTTTCACCATGTTGGCCAGGCTGGTCTCGAACTCCTGACCTTGTGATCCCCCTGCCTTGGTCTGACACAAGGCATTTCTAAGGAAAATATAAAAGGAGCTACATGGTTACTTTTGGCTGCTTATGCTGATATTTGGGACCAAAGGAATAATTTAAAAACATAATTTATAATTAAAAGAGAAACAGAACAGAAAGATTTGAAAAGCTCTCATCTTGGCCAAGTGAAAAGTTAATAAGTGTGTTCAGGAGAGAAAATCAAGGGTGTAGCTCAGAGACCATTTGCTAAACATATTAGTATGAATAGAAGGGAGCCAGGTGCTTTTCCTCAAGATAGCAGAAAAAAGAGATCCTGAAGGCATTTTAAAGATCTTGAGGCTGCCTCTCTCATCACAGGCCCAGAGGCCTAAGATGGCAGAATGGTTTCAGGAGCTAGACCAAGGGCACCCTCCATAGGCTCAGTGCCCAAGGCCACCAGAGGACTCTGTTTCCTGCACTCCAGAACGGTGCTCCACAACTGCCCTAGTTAGGCTCAAGAGACCCTAGGTATGGCTTGTGGCACAGCTCTGGAAGGAATACACATGTCAGTATACATGTAGCGCTAATTCTGCAGGCTCTTGGCAGCATGCATGTGGTGCTAATTCTCAGGTTTGCAGAAAGCAAGAGTTGTAGAGGATTGGCAGCCTCCACCCAGATTTCTAAGGATGTCATCAAAAGCTTGGGGGCCCAGGCAGGGACTTGTCACAGGGGGGGTTGCCACCACAAAGAGTTTCCACTAGAGCAATGCTGTATGTAACTGTAGGGTCAGAGCTGCTGCAGAGTCCTTACCAGGGTAATATCTAATGGAGCCATAGAGGCAGGACCTCCACCAGGATCCCAAAACTGTGGAGTCACCAGTAGCATGCAATGCCCACGTTGGACAGCTTCAGGGACCAGACTTCAGCACATAGAAGTAGCTGCATGGGCTACACCAAGCAAAGCCACAGGGACAGGACTGCTTGAGGCCTTGGGGGCCCAACTCCCACCCCAGTGTCTCGGAGGCTAAGGTGGAGTCAAAGGAGATTACTCTCAAGCTTTACAATTAATGTCTGCCCTGCTGGGTTTCAGACTTGGTTGGGACTAGTTAAGCCTTTCTTTTTGCCTATTTATCACTTTGAAAATAGAAATCTGTGAGTCTTTCTAGGTACCTTGAAAGTAGACAACCCGTTTTGATTTCACAGACTCACAGATGAGACTGTGGACTTTCGACTTCCGAGTTGGTGTGGGGATAAGTTAAGACTTTGGGGTTATGGGGATGGATTGCATATATTTGTATGTGAGAAGGACATGAGTTTTGGGGGCCAGGGGCAAAAGCCTATGATATCAATGTTTACTCCCTCTGAAACTAATGTTGAAGCTTAATCCCCAATGTGGCAGTATTAAGAGGTGGGGCCTTTAAAGGTGATTTGGTCATGAGGGCATAGCCCTCACAATGGGATTAATCCATTCATGGATTCATGGGTTATCACAGCAGTGGCATTTGTGGCTTCGTAACAGGAGAAAGAGAGAAATCTCAGCAGCACACTCAGCCCTTCACCATGTGATGGCCTGGGCTGCCTCAGGACTCTGCAAAGGGTCCTCACCAGCAAGAAGACCTTCACCAGATGTGGCCCCTTGACCTTGGACTTGTTAGCCTCCATAACAGTAAGAACCATATTCCTTTTCTTTATAAATTACACATTTCTAGAATTCTGTTACAAGCAACAGAAAGCAGACTAATACAGACATGGATATCCTGGGGAAGTGACAGCATTACGCAGCTGACCACACCTCACAACTAGACAGACAAGGTACCACTAACAGAATTCCTTTCCTTATGGCAGCACTTTGGTCTGTTTTTGCTGATATTTTACAATGATGAAAATCTGTTATTCTCTTTGGAAGTACTAAATTTAGGGTAAGTCAGAGAAGTCAGTTTCTAAGAGGAAAATAATACTCATTCCTAAATTTCTTGCCCCTAAATTTCTTTCCTCAAGTCTCCAATAAGTGCTGCACAGCTGAAATCTCATATGTTTTTCAAAATAATTATGGAACATCTGCCATATGGTAGATACAGATGTGATCACTGGCTTTTGCTTTACAAATGCAAATGATGCCTTTGACGTTCTCATTGCCTCTGTTTGCCAAGAAGGCAGTGAAATGATGAGAACTCCACTCTGTCACGTGAGCACACATATGCTACCCCATTACCCACCACAAGTCTGAGAAAACACCCAGGGAAGGACCACTAAAGCCACCTATAGGAGTGACTCAAATTCTGTTAAAGCAAAACACAAAATGTTCATGAAAGTGAAAGAGCCATGATAGGTCTGATCAATCGTGTGATGTTTTAGTGCTGCAACACCCTCTAGTCACTGATCTCGGGCCCCCAGACTCCCCCTTCTCTTTCGTCTCTCAGGTTAATGATTTAGAAAGGTGACATATGTGTGATTCTATTATTGTTAAACCTTGTAGTTGGTTGGTGAGTTAGGAATTACTAGAATCTACAGACTTTAGTATATATAGAATATACTGGCATTTATGTATAGAATCTGTGGGTAATGAACTCCAACTTGGATAGATCAGACAGGAAGGAAAAGAGGAAGGGAAGAATGGGGAAAAAAAAAACACCTTTATACCTGTGTCTGGACCGTTGAGTGTTGTTGGGGAAAATCCCACAGCTGGGAAGATTTGTGTCACAATAAATTTGCCGTCACCAGCCTAAATGGTCCTTCAGTGTCTCTAAGGAGCATCCCCTCTCCTGCTCTACAAAATGACCATTTCTCCTTCTCTAACCTACTCAAGCCTCAGACTCTTTACTCTCAGGACCCAGTCTTCTCTTCTGCTTAATAAAGAAAGGGGGGAAATAGCTAAAAATCCTTTAAACCACCCCTCCATCAGCACCAAGTCTGTAAACACTCCAGGGACCAATCCACTCTTCCCTCACTTAGGTTAGAATGGAGACAGTGACCTGTGCAGTACAAGGCCACTCCCCAAGTCCTGTCCACAGGGATAGGGGAGGCTTCCTGGAGCTCTGAATGTGGATGTGGCCTTGCTGATGGAGTGTGGTTCAGAATCAGGGGAGCACAGAGTCCATGCACCTTCCTTTAAATTGAAGCACAGAAGGTTGTTTTTCCAGAGGATCACAGAAATTCAAAATGCACGCTCTGCAGGATGCTTTGGTTGCCTTCCGCATTCCAACCTTTCCCTGATGATTATCCTGTTCCTCCTGGACCCTTGTTCTTTCCATTGCCATTGCCTCTCCACTGACTCTGGTCATCATTTAGGTAGGCTCAAGTCCTCCTTTCCCAGCAGGGCTCTCTCTGCTCCTACCACCCTCTGCCTGCTAGCCCCTATCTCCCCTCCCCGTTCCCAGCACACCTTCCTGGAGAAGATGAGAGCCCCCACGGTTTCATTTTCTCATTTCTCAGCCACTTTGCAACTCACCCTAACCTGCCTCCTGCCCTGCCCACTTGGTTTTCGACTACTTATCTGTTCCTTCTCAGTCTTCTTTACTCAGTCATCTGTCTCTGCACAATCCTGAAATGTTGACATTTTTATGGATTCTGTCCTAGGCCTTCTGTATCTGTTCATGCTACCTGTGCTCTTTAGAGACCTCTACTATATCCATTGCTAAATTCCCATCTATAAGTCAACATTCCCCTCCATCTAGGACTATCTACTGAGCTCCAGACTTAACTTCCCGCTGCTACATTGTACCCCACCCAATTGTATTCAGAGGTGTTTCAAGCTGACCATGATCACACCTGCACTTAAGCTTTCTCCTTCCCCACCCCCATAATTGGTCTAATGCTAATGTTTCCTAAATCAGTGAAAGGCACGTCCACTCAGCTGTCTGAACGAGACTCTTCTAATATTCTTGAATTAGCTCACTTCCCCCCAACTCCTAGGGAGCTGTCATGACCTCCCAAATGGCCTTCTAGAATCCACCCTTGCTCCTCTCAAATCCACCCTCCAGTCTGCTACTTCTCTTCTTATAATAATCTGATCACACAGATGACTGCCCAGTGACTTCCAAGTAAACCTTAATCTTAATATGAGCCAAGTATCTCTTAAAATCTGGCCACTGCCAACTTTCCTAGCTCTCTCTTGTATGTCTATCTCTCTTTCCCCCTCTCTGTTTTGTGAGGGTTCCTTCTGTTTGTTCATTCCCCCTCCATCCTGCCTTCTGGCTCATGAGGCTGACCAGTAATCATGACATCAGTGAGATTCCATGCCCTCTGACTTTTGGTGTGTTCAGGGCCACAGGAGTCCAGACAGGAGACTGGAAGGCAGTAGAAGAGTAAACTCAGTAACTCATTCCCTTGGCTCACTCCCCAATGAACCTACTTAGCTTGTTCCATTGGTCAACCAAAGTTTCCTTCCCCTTCCAGGTTCTGGGAATTACGCCATGACCCCTTGACCCCTCCAGGCCTAAGGATGGTGGCAAGTCCATCATCACACAGCCCTATACCATCTAGCCTGTTGTCCTGACACTCAGCCCATACCATAGTAAATGGTCCCTTTATTAAACACAATGTTTTCTTTCTTTTCTTTTCTTTTTTTTTTTAATGGAGTCTTGCTCTGTCACCCAGGCTGGAGTGCAGTGGCCCCATCTCGGCTCACTGCAAGCTCCACCTCCCGGGTTCATGCCATTCTCCTGCCTCAGCCTCCCGAATAGCTGGGACTAGAGGCACCTGCCACCACGCCTAGCTAATTTTTTTATATTTTAGTAGAGACAGGGTTTCACCATGTTAGCCAGGATGGTCTCGATCTCCTGACCTTGTGATCTGCCCGCCTCGGCCTCCCAAAGTGTTGGGATTACAGACATGAGCCACCGCACCTGGCCTAAACACAATGTTTTCTAAGATGAGCCTGCCATCTGTTTCCTGCTGGGGATTTACTGCGATACCCCTGCCTGCTACACCTCAGCCCTGCTGGGCTCTTCTCAGATCCTTCAGCACATCATGATTTACTATCCCTGGAAGCCTTCTCACTATGAGGCTGGCCCTTCTTTCCTGCCTGGCCCACAAGCTAGATTAAGTCCCCACTGTGGCCTTCCAAGGTGCATTCTACTTTGCTGTTGATATGCTGCAGAATGCTGCCATTATTGACGTGATTGCTTTACTGTCAGCTCCACCAAGTGGGGAGTCAGATCTGTGGTGCCCCGATTCTCCCAGTGCCTGGCACCCTGAAGATGCAAAAAAAAGTGTGTTGACCAATAAGCTCATTTCTGTGAGTTTACCTGACAGAGATCTGATGATATTTTAAAGTTCCAGTCTAGCTCTTGCAATACAAATATAGAGTTGCTACACAAGCGTCTTTGAATGACCTTGGGTAAAAAGTCACATAATTTATTTCCAAATCCTAGAGGTACTCAAAATCCACCCTTCATTTTGACAATTATGAGGTCTGAAAAAATTGTGAATGCTACAATATGTACAAATACATTCAAGGGCTGTGTTTCTATTAGTTTCATCACCCTAAGAAATTAGTGTTTCCGTATGTTTATTGCGGCACTGTTCACAATAGCAAATACTTGGAACCAACCCAAATGCCCATCAGTGATAGACTGGATAAAGAAAATGTGGCACATATACACCATGGAATACTATGCAGCCATATAAAACGATGAGTTCATGTCCTTTGCAGGGACATGGATGAAGCTGGAAACCATCATTCTCAGTAAACTAACACAAGAACAGAAAACCAAACACCACATATTCTCACTCACAGGTGGCAGTTGAACAATGAGAACACATGGACATGGGGAGGGGAACATCACACACCGGGGCCTATCGGGGGTGAGGGGCTAGGGGAGGGAAAACATTAGGAGAAATACCTAACGTAGATGATGGGTTGATGGGTGCAGCAAACCACCATAGCATGTGTATACCTATGTAACAAATCTGCACGTTCTGCACATGTATCCCAGAACTTAAAGTATAATGAATCAATCAATCAATCAATCAATCAATCAATCAATAAGTGTTTCATAGGAGAAACGTAATATAAGGAAAAACATAAATATTTTATTAGGGGTTTATTATTATTGAACTCTGTTGCTGGCTGACCACGTAACCATATAGTGTCCAAATTCCATTTCTGTAAGGAAAACATCTATGTCCTTAAACTTGGGATCCACACATGGCTTCTCACACCTGCATCCTTCCAGGTCAGCCTCTTGAGGCTTTGGATGGACACTAAGGAACCAGTTCCTATGCCTGGACTTTTGATTACCCCTTAACTGCCATCAGCCAAATTGCAGGTTCATGGTCCTCCTGCCTTCGCAGGAGGTGGGGCGGGATGGGGGTGGAGGGCGAGGGGGAGGACAGGCTTCCTGTCCACTCCTCTTGGAAAGCTTCTATGCACTCCCTAGACCTGTTCCCTCCTGATCAGTGAGTGCAATACTCCTAGTTCTTCACCAACACACTAAGAAGGAAAAAGCCTTTATTCATTTATAGCAACTGACAATATAAAGACCCAAAGGTCATAACAAAATAAAAAGAAGCCATCTTTCAAGTGGGACAGAGAAGTAATAAAAGTGCAGTTAGAACCAGAGAGTGGTCAAGCTCTGGCAGGAGACAAGAGAAGAGAGAAAAAGGGAAGAGGGTTGGGAAGTGGTGAAAAGGGCCAAAAGCCTGAATTTCTATCCACCTTCTTCTCTTATCTGTCCGAGGGGTATTTTTACATATTATAGCATGCTATTGTGAGGTATATTATAGTTCATGAACCACAGTGACTTTTAGCTCCATGTTCACTGTGTGGCTTTTGTTGTCTATAGTAGAAACTGTGGTCTGCTGTCCAGATTCCTACTTCTGGGCCTAAGTACACATCTCCTCATCTGCTGAGTGTGTTGTTTGCAAAGAATTCAGAGCTGAGTCCTTCTATGACCTCAACCAAAGACGCCTCCTCCCCAAAGACATCACTCATCCAATGACTGGTCAATGGGTGTTGCTGGAGCCCAACTCAATTTGGGACAAGTCTGAATGACCATCCAGCTTCAATGTTCCTCAAAGGGTCAGCTATTAAAATTATTGAAGCAATGGGGGAATTCCACTGTCCTTGTATCAGTCAACATCTCTACTCACCAGACCACAAGAAGACCAAGAGGCCCAAAAATGCCCACTGAAGATTGCTGACAACATACAGACCCAAAGTTCACAAAAAAATGAAAAGAAGCCATCTTGCAAGTAGAACAGAGAAGTGATAAAAGTGCAGCTAGAACCACAGAGTGGTCAAGCTCTGGCAGGAGATGAGGAGAGAGAGAAAGGTCTTTGAGATTCTAAGTAGGCCTTGGGTTAATACAACCATCATTTTTTTTTTTTTTTTTGAGACATAGTCTCTCTCTGTGACCCAGGCTGCAGTGCAGTGGCATGATCACAGCACACTGCAGCCTCAATCTCCTGGGCTCAAGTGTTCCTCTTGCTTCAGCCTCCCCAGTTGCTGAGACTACAGGTGCACCACCACCATACCTACCTAATTTTTTTCACTTTTTGTAGAGACAGGATTTCACCATGCTGCTCAGGCAGGTCTCAAACTCTGGGTTCAAACAATCCTCCCACCTTGCCCTCCTAAAGTGCTGTGATTACAGGCATGTGCCACCATGCCCAGGCCCATTCTCATAAAGTTGAAGAAGACTTTGGAGATTACACATGGACCTGCTATTCAGTGTGGGCTGGAATTACCCCAAAGGCAAACGCCATTTGCAGATGAGCTGACACTCTCTGCTTTGTTAGGTGACATAACCCTCCTGGACCATCAGCTCCAGGCTCCTTAACCTGCGCCTAGCATCTAACTTCTACCCCAGAGACTATCCTACATGCTCACCACTGACCCATTCCCATGGTCAATCTGATTGTTCTTGAACAATCTTTGATGCCCCTCTTCATTGGATTAGACCCTTGTCCTGACTGTTAGGGCAGGACAGGGGTCTCATCCAATGAGATGAGACCAGAGCATCCACCTAGCTCTGGCCTGTTGGGATTGATAGCAGAAGTTCCAGGGTTCCCCAGGTCAGCACAGCCACCACCACGATAAAGGCAAGAGACAACAGCTGCCACCATGTCCCAGGACAGACTGGTAGCTCATAAGACTGGACAAGGGGCCGTGTCTTGGTGTGAGTTCTCCAGAAGCAGATCCTAATTTGAGGAAAAGCCGATCTATAAAGAAAGTAGACAGAAGCTGTTGACTGGGGGTGGGACTTCAAAGCAGGGATGGGAAGTGACTTCAAATAGGCATGAGAGATATTTTGGGGGTAGTTCTAAAAGGGCGATTGTTGTACAACTCTGTGAACTTGTTAAGAATCAGAGAATCATACAGTTAAAATAAGTGAATCCTACGTTATGTAAATTATCGCTCAATAAAGATGTTAAACATATAAGAATGCATTTCAGAAGTAGGTAAGTGGCTAAGAAACTGAGCCTTGTAAACTGTCAGCCTAGACCCTGCCCTGCCTTGGACTGCACTTGCTTCACTTGGATCTGGGTCCTCTAGGAGACGTCATGCTTCTGTCAACTGGCATTTTCATCTTTGTTATATTCATAGCAAGTCCCCTGCCTATGGTGATCATTTAACAATTATTTGCTGAATTGAACTCTAGTGGGCAGGTGCATTTCCCAGGACATCAAAAAGATGCTTTAAAGAAAGGTTTAACAGAACGCTTCCTCCCAGATGGCCCTTGCACGTGACTCACTCACAAGCACTAGGAAAAGGGCGATGACGTGGCTGTGAAAATGAGACAAGACATTTAGCTACAGATCCAGCAAGTCATCAGTCTTCAGGAGAAAAATATTAGCAGTGCATTGCACCATTGCCTCCTGACTTCAGGCGAGATGGCAGTGTCGCTCCAGAAGGAACAGCCGTCCCCACCACCTGCTGCCCAGTAAGGCCAGAGGCAGCAGGCCCCTCTGTTGAAACTATGAGATTACAGCCCATGTGGCTGAACTTGCAGACAAAGAAGAGGGCTGGAGCTGCTTTTCCTTGTAGTCTAAATGTTACTGTGCATCTCCTTGTGGAACAACATTGATCAAACATAGCCTTCACCCTGATCCAAATCTGCGATTCACCCTCTCAGAAGTTCCTGAGGAGCTAGAACGTTGCACCCTCAGGTCTGTGCACAGGAAGGAGTGTGTGGTAATCTTCAGGGGGAAGAAAATTATCTTAGAAGAATGTAAATTGTTTCTACTCCAGAAATTTGCTGAAAAGGGGGAGAGAAGTCATGTAAAAAGAGATGAATTTATTAGAAGTTCTCCTTAACCCAGTAGGTCCCGAGTCTGTTCCTGGTGGGTAGTCTGGTAAACCAGGAACACAAGAAGGTTGGGTAGAGTGTTTAAGCTTTTGAGTCAGAGAGATCTGGGTTTGGATCCTGGCCCCATCACTAATTAGCTGACCCAGCTCCAACCTCCCTGGATTTCAGTTTTCTCGCTTGTCCAGCTGAGGTAATAATGAAAATTTTTGTAGCTGGATGTGGTGGCACATGCCTGTAGTCCCAGCTACCCAAGAGGCTAAGGCAGGAAGATTGCTTGAGCCTGAGAGCTCAAGACCAGTCTGGGAAACATAGCAAGACCCTATCTCTACAAAATAAAAATTAAAAAACTATCCAGACATGGTGGTGTGTGACTGTACTCCCAGCTACTCAGGAGGCTGAGGATGGAGGATTGCTTGAGCCTTGGAGTTCAAGGCTGCAATGAACCATGATAGTGCCACTGTACTCCAGCCTGGGGAACAGAGCAAGACCCTGTCTCTAAAAAAAATGCTATAGTTATAAAAATAATTTTTTCACTTGGGGTCATTGTATGTTTGCAATGAGAGGCTACACCATGATGGGGACATTGTATAGGAGATACTCAGTGAAGGGCTATTGAAACCCCAGATAGGAATATTTCATTCAGTTAAATTAATGGAGGCCCTGGCACAGACTGTCATTAAATAATATGGGAAGGCTCAGTGTGTCCCTAGTCAGGGTTTCTCACATCCTTTCCAGTGGGCTTCTGCCAGAGAAGACAGAGAGTCCAATGTCATCACTTTCATGCTACAGCGTGCAGAGTCAAGGAGCAAGAAACAGAGCCTCCATGTGATATTTAAATACAAACAGACTTTTCGAGGGTGTTATATATTAGCCAGAACCCCCAAATTAGTATTTGTGGCTCTGCATTTCAAACATTAATTCAAATGATTGCTTCCTTTTTAAGCTTTTACCTGTTGAGATTAAATCCTGAATTGACTCAGTCAAGTACCTGATAACCTACCAAATACTTGATGCTTGTTGAATTTTAATTGATTTAATTATTCTTACAAGTTCATCAACATGAATTCTGGAAAAGAAAGTGTGTTCTAAAGAGTTTTAACGTTCACCCATCAATGGGCGCACGTGGAGTCAGATTCTTTCCACCAGAAATTGGGAAGGGGGCCCTGGAGCAGCAGAACCAGGTGGTCCATGCTGGAGAAGCAGATAAAGGCAGTCTGCAAAGACAGAACAAAGGCTGATGCAGACAGAAAGGAGAAATCCTCATGGGTAACCTGGAGGCTGAGAGAGCAGTTAACTCAGCTTTGGGTCACTTTCCAGGCCTAGCCTTTCTTTCTCATTTTGGTTTTTTGAGAAATCTTTATCTCCCACAGAACCTCTCTGTGGGCTGAGCCAGGCTGAGTAGATTGCGTTGAAGACCTATGGGGTCCCATATGGGATAGGCACCTGGGACCACTGGAAGTCAACTTTGGTGTCTGTTCCGGCCTTTCTCACTTCTTAGTGCCTTTAGGTTGTGATTCACTCTCACTATGTTCTCCAATTGAGGCATCCTTGCTTCAGCAAAAAGAGAATATTTCTTCTTCATCTCCCATCTTCCTGGTATTGGAGAGTAGAAGAGTTAGCTTACAAGGAGATAAACAATAGATCAGGAGAAGGCATAGAGGTTTACAGGGAAAATACCAGTGAGTAAGTGAAGAGTGAAGTATTCTTTAGATGTGAGGAAACAGGTAAGGGAGAGCAGGAATATAACAGATATAACCAGAGAAACAGAATTGAATCAGAAAAATATAGCAAATCAACTGAGAGCCAGAAATCGTTACCATCTGACCTCATAAACTGCCACATCTCAAATACCCAGTCTTAGCAAGAATATGTTCTCCCCTTCCATGCAGCAGGTACTCAGGTCAATGACAGCACCATCACACCAGTGTCTGAAGGAAGTCTTCCTAGATAACCCAGCACTTATATCTTCAGCTTGGGAGTCCATGCATTCTACTGTCACACTGTGCCCAGCACGCAGACAGTGACCCCTGAGCCACAGCTCTCATCAAGAAATCACACCATGGCTCCCAAGACACCTAAATTCCCTTCCATTACCTGTGCTCTCTTTTTGGATACATGTGAACCATGACTACCCACACTCTCACGGTATGGCTATTTGTGGGCCACAGAGGGAGAAGATGGAACTTGGTTAGGATTACTAGCTTTAGAAGAAACCTTGAGAGTTCGAAGTGGATATGTCCAGACAATTGAACATATAGGTCTGAAGCTCAAAGTACAGTAGGAAATAGAAAGTTATGGGCACACATTTATCATTCTAGAAGATGATGTAGAATAAAGATAGAGGAGAGCCTTGGTTTGAACTTTAAGGAATTCACTTAAAGGTCACGCACAACCCAGTTGATACAGAGACTAGAAAAATAAAAGAAGGAGGGAGAAAGTGGGAAGTTGGAAGCCAAAGCAAGAGATTGTTTCAGTAAAGAGATTGTGGTCACCAGTGTTGGAAACTGCTGTGAGGATTGAAAATTGCCTGCTAAATTCAACAATACGTATGTCACTGGTGATCTTGGGGTAAATTGTTTTAGTGAAAGGAATGGCAGATGGAAATTCACCAGGTGTTGAGTGAGTATAGGCAGGGAGATAAGTAAATGGGTTTCGACATGTCTTCAGAGAACTCTGGCTTTGAAATACGAGGAGAAATACAAAAAGCTCATGCGCATAAAAGTGCAGCCTAATATATCCTAAAGAGTATAATAGAGATGATGATTGATAACGGCACAAATGAAACACCATTTCATTCCATAAAAGGCTAGGGAAGAGTTGATTGGATTTGAACCCACATCTCTCTGACCTAAAAACCATGGTTGGGCAAGAGAACCTATGAGACCACACATATGTTGATTAATCTAAATAACTGTGGTATATGAAGACAGGGGTATTATTTGGGTTTGATTTGTTCTTGTTTCTCTAGTTCCTTGAGGTCTGACATTAGATTGTCTATTTGGCACTTTCAGGCTTTGGGATGTCAGCATTTAATATTTAATGCTGTGAACTTCCCTCTTAGCACTGCTTTTGCTGTATCTCAGTGGTTTTGGCAAGTTGTGTCACTATTATCATTCAGTTCAAAGAATTTTTAAATTTCCGTCTTGATTTCATTGTTAACCTAATGATTATTCAAGAGCAGATTATTTGATTTCCATATATTTGTATAGTTTTGAGGATTTCTTTCTTTCTTTCTTGTTTTTTTTTTTTTTTTGGTTGAGATGGAGTCTCGCTCTGTCACCCAGGCTGGAGTGCAGTGGCGCAATCTCAGCTTACTGCAACCTCTGCCTCCCCAGTTCAAGCAATTCTCTGCCTCAGCCTCCCGAGTAGCTGGGATTACAGGTTCCCGCCACCACACCCGGCTAATTTTTGTATTTTTAGTAGAGACAGGGTTTCACCACCTTGGCCAGGCTGGTCTTGAACTCCTGACCTAGTGATCCACCCACCTCGGCCTCTCAAAGTGCTGGGATTACAGGTATGAGCCCCTGAGCACAGCCAGTTTTGACGGTTTCTTTTGGAGTTAATTTCCAGCTTTATGAGGGGTATGAGGCAGGCTCGATTCCCTGAATCTTTTGGTCTCTTGCAGTTTTCCAGTGGTCATCAATGCAGCTGGAATTCACTGTTGCAGCCAAGCAACCACATAATACCCAAGAGGAAGCAGAAAGCAAAGGCATTAATATAAGCACATGTGACCAAAATGCAACTGGAGCATACTAAACAACAGCTTTATTTGTGGCCTCCAGCATGGGCTGGGATGTGCCAACTGTGTAATTCTCCTGCGCATGAAGAACCGCAGAACCATGCAGACTCTCTGGCTCTGCACAGGTCCAGTTGCACTTTTTGTAACTCTTTTAGTGACATTTTTCAATATTTAATCTCAAGCTAAAATTCTTAATTGCTTACTATTGTTGTTCATTAAAAATGTAAGAACAATCTGTGTGAAGTCCCACACCTTAGCGTAGTAGAGAAAGGACCAAAGTGAGAAGTGCAAAATCTCTCTTGAAAAGATGTGCTGTGACAAAAGAAATACTGCTTCTTTCTAAGTTACATCTAATAGCTATTTTAAATGCTCACATAAACACAAGGATTGATGAGGAAGGGAGCTGTCTGTCTCTACCGTGGTGATGCTAAAGGCTTAGCAGCAACATTGACAAATACATAGATCATTGTTGTCAAGGGGTTTTAGTTAATCATGAAGAAGAGCGGGAAAAGGATATAATGGAAAACGAAGATGAGACGTTGACCTGCAGATGTGATTGACTTGGAACCACACCCTGACAATTGCAGAGGCAGAAATAAAAACACTGGGACCAACCACAAGAGGCAAGTAGGTAATCCAGTTAACAGGAGGAAGAGCAGGTAACTGAAATGTCAGGAGCTTTATGTACTGACCTTCGATTACCTCACGGTAAAGGAAAATATTGAAAAGGCCATTGATCTTGTATTCTTATTCATGAAAAACAGCAATTAGCGAGGTGATTGCAGTGTTTGAAAATGTGATAGCAATTTACAAGTTCAAAATAAAAACAAGTGAAGAAAAGCCCTTGAGAAGGGCCACACATCAAATTTTCTAAGCATGATTTGATCTGCTTCAGAAAGAAGATGCTGAAATGCTGCAGCCCAGTGATGCAGGCAGTGACAGCTGACAGGGTAGGGGCTGAATGGAGAGGAGAAGTCATTCTCAACCTTCAGGTCATTGCCATTTTGTTAGTTCCAGTTCCCAAAGAAAAAAGGTAACCCCAATCTAAAGAGTGTTTGTACATGATGAAGGGCCTATCACTTGGTCATTTTCTCAGAACAAATAGGAAGGGACAGACTGCCACGAGATAAGGCTATTTTCCCCCTAAACAAAGCTCATTTGTTTCCACCAGCAGCCTCCATCCCTAAGCCCTCAACCTGGGCTGACACAGATAATGCCTTAAAGGCAGGCTGCCCCTCACACAGACACAAGAACCTAGTCAGCAAATATAAGCAAATGTAGGTCCCTTTGTCTCCCAGGATAAAGCTGGCACCAACCCTCTGCTGGACAAATTAAAAGACAAAATTTTCCACCACTAATCAAATCTCTTCCATGTAATGAGCACCACTGTCTTCTAGGGCAACTGTGATTACGTCCGTTTTCCAGATGAAATGCTGAGAAAGTGATAATAATGGAAGTGTCACACACACCCAGGGTGTGCTTCCTTGTTTTCAAAGTATTTTTCCTAAGTTATGGCCGTTTGCTTTGTTGTTTACGATAATTTTGTGAGGTAGACAGGATGGGAGATATGAGTTTAGGGATTTAGGTTATCATACTGTTCCTGAAGTCAGGTGATCTGCATTCAAACTGAACACACACCTCTAGTGACCTTCAGCAATGTTCTCAACCTTTCTGTGATTCAGTTTGCTCATCTGTAAAGGGGAGAGAGGACTACAGTGAGACTGAGATGTGATGATGAAAGATCCTACACAGTGCCTGGCATTTAGAAAGTGCTCAGTAGTTTGCAGCCATCATGATTCCACCTGTCACCATTGTGGTTGTCACCACAGATGAGGCAATGTGGCTGACATCCCTGAGATCCCAAAGTCAGAGAGGCAACCACAGGCAGAATCCACAGTTCCTGCTTCCAATCTATTATCCCTTCCCGTCTACTAGAGAAACAATGTCAAAACAGCAAAATCAGTTTCTAAAAAGTGGGGATAACATATTCAATGTGTTTTTTAAATAAATGAAAGTCAAAGTGCTATAAGTGCTGTACAAACGAGAAGAAGTGTGATTTGAAGCTTGAGCAAAGGCTCAGAAAGGGTCCTAATTTGTCCTTAGTTCTGTCCTGCACCATGTGATGATGAATTTGAGGTGTCGGGATGCTAGATGCCCTTCCTACCCCCAAATAAAAAGAGGGGGTGACCTTGGGAGGCCAAAGCAGGCTGATCACGAGGTCAGGAGTTCGAGACCAGCCTGGCCAATATGGTGACACCCCATCTCTACTAAAAATACAAAAATTAGCCAGGTGTGGTGGCATGCACCTGTAGTCCCACCTACTCGGGAGGCTGAGGCAGAATTGCTTGAACTCAGGAGGCAGAGCTTCCAGCGAGCCGAGATTGCACCACTGCACTCCAGCCTGGGCAACAAGAGCGAGACTCTGTCTCAATAAAAACAACAACAAAAACCAGGGGTGGTTGATCCTCTGCATCAAAAGATACAATAACAGGAGGAAAGACTGGTGCTGCGATCTGCAATAGAGATCTTTCACATCCTCCCAGGAACTGAAGTCCTAGCCCAAGGGGATACATTTTTTTTCTTATTAAGCAACGCTGCTGGGTTGTCTTCAAAATGAATCTATTTTCTGTTGAGTCTTGAGACTATATGCCCATATTTATTTTTTAGAGACCCAAATAATATTTCTAAAGGTCTCAATAGACTAAAGTTTCCCCAAAATAAAGCTAGAATACACCTATGAGAAAAAGAAAAAAAAAATTCTACACATGGCTTCGAGCTCGCTCTTTTTTGACATTCTCTAAAGCTGATGATGAACTTTGGAGGTGAATTTCATAGCCTTTAAAATCACGCCATTCACCTCTTCAATAGGTAAGGATTGAATTCTCATTCAGCCAAATAATGGGTTATTCTTATTTAAAGATATGCAGTAAATTAGATTCTTTTTTTTTTTTGGTGCCAACAATTAGGAATACATACTTCCTGTTTCTAAGCAATTTCAGGTTTAATTAGGATTCTCTAAGCCCCATTTGTCTTAACAATTTGACAGCTCCGGCTTCCCCTTCCACACCCACACTTTTCCTTTTTTTACACTCTCCCCCGTTTGTAGTATTTTATTCCACATAAATGCCAGGAGGGAAAGGGAAGCAAGCTTAAGTGCAAATCAGATCGCTTGTTTCTTCTCTGGAACAGGCCACTTTCAAGGCACCTATGATAAAAGGTTATTTTCCCTTGACTGACAATTATCTCTAAGCTAATTATTAAAGTGTCTTATTAAAATGTGCATGTCTGGGGGACTTCCAAGGGAAGCAGGATGAAATCCCCTGGAAGAAGAATATGACATCACAGGAGTAATGTGCAGGAGAGCGCCCTGTTTGTCCATTTAAATTAGTTTCATCATCCATAACAAGTGTTTAAAAAGCAGAAAAGCAAGCGTGATGCATAATGCATTGTGCCATGATGCATAATAATTAGGCCTGCTCCCCGCCACCCCGTCTCCCAAGACTTAAAAATCTCTCCGAGTAAGCATTTTGTTCTCAAGGCTTTGACAAAAATGCCATTTAGGGACTTTCAAATTTACAGCTAGGCAATTTGTCATCATTTATATGACAGAGTAGAAGGTAAAAGGAATATAACACTGCGTGGTTCATCACTTCAAGAAGCTCCCGGTGGCCGGGCGCGGTGGCTCACGCCTGTAATCCCAGCACTTTGGGAGGCCGAGGCGGGTGGATCATGAGGTCAGGAGATCGAGACCATCCTGGCTAACAAGGTGAAACCCCGTCTCTACTAAAAATACAAAAAATTAGCCGGGCGCGGTGGCGGGCGCCTGTAGTCCCAGCTACTCGGGAGGCTGAGGCAGGAGAATGGCGTGAACCCGGGAGGCGGAGCTTGCAGTGAGCCGAGATTGCGCCACTGCAGTCCGCAGTCCGGCCTGGGCGACAGAGCGAGACTCCGTCTCAAAAAAAAAAAAAAAAAAAAAAAAAAGAAGCTCCCGGTGATGAAAGCTCCTTGGGCCTCGATGTGGTAAAGGGACATCCGCCTGTCCCTGCAACACTGCCTGGATGGAGGCACCCCGCCCCCATGCGATGTGTTGTTTTCTTTTTAAAAAAAAGACAAAGTCGGCCGGGTGCAGTGGCTCACGCCTGTAATCCCAGCACTTTGGGAGGCCGAGGCGGGTGGATCACGAGGTCAGGAGAATGAGACCATCCTGGCTAACATGGTGAAACCCCATGTGTACTAAAAATACAAAAAATTAGCTGGGTGTGGTGGCGGGCGCCTGTAGTCCCAGCTACCCAGGAGGCTGAGGCAGGAGAATGGCCTGAACCCGGGAGGTGGAGCTTGCAGTGAGCCAAGATCGCACCACTGCACTCCAGCCTGGGCTACACAGCCAGACTCCGTCTCACAAAAAAAAAAAAAAAAAAAAAAAAAAAAAAAAAAAAAGACAAAGTCACATAAGATAGTTATCCCACGCTTGAGCATTTGCTCTTGGAAAGCCAACGTTAACTGAAGGTTTAGAAATCAATCTTCAGCTTCATATATGTTGCTTCTTCTCCAACCCTCCATGGACACTGAGGTTAAGAACAGAACAATTAAAAATATTCTTTACTCTAAAATAGCATTTTTTGAAGATGTGATAAAATCTAAGAGAACGACTAAATTTAGATAATGTCTAAAACACAGCTGAACCAAAAAAGGAAAGAGATGGTCTTTGGAATGAGACATTGTTACTTTAAAATAACCACATAATTATTTTATATAAAAAGAGCTTTTTCTGGCTTTAAAATAAAATTTAGATCTGAAGTACAAATGTAGCATTTCCTGTTGAAGTATGACAGGAAACCAGGATTTGAGGTCTAATAAGCCCTACACGGAGCCCATTTGCGTAACAGCCATCCACCCATTTGCTCAACACTGACTGAGCACCTAAGGTAGGCTGGATTCTTCACTGGGGCCCAGGGCTATTTGCCCAAGAAAATCTAACTGAGGAAAAACACGGAACACAAAGCTGATTATTTTAGGACTGGTTAGAAAGGGTTAATATAAATGATTTAATGATTGAATGATTAATGGAGTCCAAAAGGCAGACTCAAGTGACCAGAAAAATTCTCTTTCAGCTAATTTAACATTTTACCGTAATTGAACACAGATTGCCTCAAACCACAGCACTGTGCTGGGCTGCACCCAGGCAGGGGAGCTTTTCAGCCCCATGTGAACCTTCCCCAGACAGTGGGGGCAGTCTATGTCGTCAAAACACATTATTGGATTTTCACCCTATAAGATGTTGAGTCTCAGGAAACAACAAGGGCCAAACACATAATGGTTGTGTATACGTTCCCAATTGCATACTTAGCATTCACTGAGCCATAAATTTAGGAACATAATGCTAATGCCATATAATTACTAATCCTCACAAATTTTGAGTGTAAAAAAGGCCCATCTCAGTCAACCAACGAGATCATTGTGGGCCAAGCTGTTGTGATAAATCACGCAATCTAGCATGGATATATTGATCTGCATTGGCTTATATGCGAATTTCTAATTTCTTCCAACATTCTTCTCATGAATATGTTTGCCATGATGGAAACTGTCTAGAGCTGGGAGATAGGCCAGCTTGGTTTGGGTTCCAGCTCCATTCCACTCATATTGTGCCTCATTAAAGAAGTCAATTTACATCTTTGATCCTCACTCCCCTCTTATCTTTCAAATAGAAGATTTTGACAGGTAATTAACAAAGGTCCTTCCATGTCTAACTGTTGATGGTTCTAGGGCTCTAGGGCCTTAATTCCCAAGAACAGGATATCATCATCAGGAATGGGATAAGGCAGGAAGTTGACAATTTATGGAGAAAAATAATGTGTGTAGGGATATATAAATAAAGGCCCCCTGCTTGTGACTAAAAAAAGCTAGAACTATAAAAAGCTCTTAGGTAAAAAATTGGGGTCATGCCCAGCAATCCCATTACGGGGTATATACCCAGAGGGTTATAAATCATTCTACTATAAAGACACATGCACACATATGTTTATTACAGCACTATATATAATAGCAAAGACTTGGAAACAACCCAAATGCCCATCAATGATAAACTAGATAAAGAAAATGTGGCACAGATATACCATGGAATACTATGCAGCCATAAAAAAGAATGAGATCATGTCCTTTGCAGGGACATGGATGAAGCTGGAAGCCATCACTCTCAGCAAACTAACCCAGGAACAGAAAACCAAACACTGCATGTTCTCACTCGTAAGTGGAAGTTGAACAATGAGAACACATGGACACAAGGAGGGGAACGTCACACACCAGGGCCTGTCAGGGAGTGGGGGCAAGGTGGGGGAGAGCATTAGGACAAATACCTAATGCATATGGGGCTTACAACCTAGATGACAGGTTGATAAGTGCAGCAAACCACCATGGCACATGTATACCTCTGTAACAAACCTGCACATTCTGCACAGGTATCCCAGAACTGAAAGTAAAATAAAATTTTTTTAAATTAGGGTCATAAATATGTATTACAGAAAAAAATTATCTTATGGTTGAACTCCATAGCCATGTAAAAATTCAAAGAAAAAAACAAAAAATCAAGAGTGAGTGAATTTGGATAAATCACCCAGTGTGGCCCTGAGCCTAACTCCATTCAAGATTTATGCCCACTTAAACATCAGAACCTCCCAGGTTTCAATGTTAACCTTAATTTCCTCATTAAGCAATAACTTCTCTAGAGCACAATAATAGATTATAATTTATTATGCTTTTAACTTAGTAAATTGCCTTAAAATATATTATCAATAATTTAGTACAGCAAGTTTTTTGTACCCAAACCAGATATCCAGACATATATATATATGTATGAACTGTAGTTGGGGAGGGCTTCGCAGATATATATATATCTTCACATATATATAGATATATATATCTTCACATATAGATCTTCACATATATAGAGAGATATATATATCTTCACATATATATAGATATATATATCTTCACATATATATATATACACACTCTAATTTCTTGAATCATCTTCACTGTTTTGAGTTTGTCAAATTGTCTTTTTTGACTTTTCACAACTTAAGAGTCAGTACATTTTTCATTTTATCTTTTAGCTCTGTTGCACACAGCTTTGCTCTGAGAGTCCTTAAAAGCTTCTCACTGCAGCCTGGATTTTGCTCTTCAGCCTCCTTCAGATCCATTCAGTCTCTAGATTTATGTGCATGCATGCACACACACAGACACACGCGCGCACACACACACACACACACACACACCCCACAGCAGTGCTTTCAATGCCTAGCCCTCTTCTCAAACTGCAGGACAGCACTGATCCATGTTCCCTAGGATTCTGTGGCAACAGCTTCACTTCCATAAAGCCCTCCCGAAGTACAGTTCACAAAGCTTCCTTTCTCCTCTATGTTTATATTTAACATTTTTAGCTGCATCCATGTCCCTGAAAAGGATATGATCTTGTTCCTTTTTATGGCTGCATAGTATTCCGTGGTATATATATACCACATTTTTCTTTATCTTGTCTATTATTGGTGGGCATTTAGGTTGGTTCCATGTCTTTGGAGCTGGAGGCCATTATCCTTAGCAAACTAGTGCAGGAACAGAAAACCAAATACCTACTACGTGTCATCACTTATAAATGGGAGCTAAATGATGAGAACACATGGGCACATAGAGAGGAACAACACACACTGGGGCCTATTGAAGGGTGGAAAGTGGGAGGAGGGAGAGGATCAGGAAAAATAACTAACGTGTACTAGGCTTAATACCTGGATGATGAAATAATCTGTACAACAAACCTCCATGACACAAGTTTATCCATGTAACAAATCTGCGCATGTATCCCCGAACTTAAAATAAAAGTTAAAAAAAAAAAAAAAGACCGGGCACAGTGGCTCATGCCTGTAATCCCAGCACTTTGGGAGGCTGAGGCAGGCAGATCACTTGAGGTCGGGAGTTTGAGACCAGCCTGGCCAACATGGTGAAACCCCGTCTCTACTAAAAGTACAAAAATTAGCTGGGCATGGTAGAACATGCCTGTAGTCCCAGCTACTCGGGAGGCTGAGGTGGGAGAATCACTTGAACCCGGGAAGCAGGGGTTGCAGCGAGCCAAGATTGCACCACTGCACTCCAGCCTGGGTGACAGAGTGAGATCTTTTCTCAAAAAAAAAAAAAAAAAAAAAAAAAAAAGTCTTTTTAGAATGATCAGGAGCTCATTTTATAATCTAACTAAATTGGATTATTCAGTTTGTCTCCTTGTTTTATTAGCTTATATTACCTCTGTTTTTTTTTAAAAAAAAAGACTTTGTTACTTTGTACTTATCTATGTCATAATTTCCTAATGAAATGGCCAACTAAGAAACCATATTTATACTGTGCTTATCTTATTCCATATTCCCAATGGACATAAAATAAGCACAGTAAATATTTTCAGGTTAATGAATGCTCTCCTTCTAAGAAAGCCCATTGGTGAGTTTACACTGGTTTCATCTTCGGTCATTAATAACATTAGTAACATTCTGTATCATGATCACCCTGCTTAGATAGTGCCAGTTCCTCACAATCTGTATCACGTTGAGATGGGTATATACAATATGTAAACCCTACTTCTCTTTATTTTCAGTTTTTCAATAAGTACAAAACTATAACTTTTTCAATAAGTACAAAAGCAAAGAATTTACACATAAACTTCTTATAAGAAATAACACTTCGGCCTGGCTCAGTGGCTCATGCCTGCAATCTCAGCACTTTGGGAGGCCGAGGCGGGCGGATCACTTGAGGTCAAGAGTTGGAGACCAGCTTGACCCACATGGCGAAACCCCGTCTCTACTAAAAATACAAAAATTAGCCGGGCTTGGTGGTTCATGCTTGTAATTCCAGCGGCTTGGGAGGCTGAGACAGGAGAATTGCTTGAACCCGGGAGGCAGAAGTTGCCGTGAGCCGAAATTGTGCCACTGCACTCCAGCCAGGGTGACAAAGCGAGACACCAGCCCCCCAGCACCGCCCCCCCAAAAAAGAAAGAATGCTTAATCTTAGCATACATACATTGTGTGTGTGTGTGTGTGTGTGTGTCAATAAGTGTGCAAGATGAGGAGAGAAAGGAAGACAGACAAGGAGGCCAAAAACAGATAAACCATAAAAAAAAACCATTAAGCTGCTCAACGAAAAAGTGAGGCTGCAGATGTGAAATATGAAATGAATTGTAAATTATTTTGAGGTCAAAGTTACACTAAGTTGAATCCTGTAAATCTCAATTCAACTTGTTTAAGGCTTTCAAAACTCACAACGTGGAACACATTTTTAAACTTAAAATTTTTCAGGATATGAATGAGGGAAAATGGATATTTGGGTGATACCAAGTTATACTACATAACAAAAAATATAAATATTTATAGGTGTGCTTAACCCTTCATTTTCTGGTTACTAAAAACCCAAATAGCTTTATGCTAACAGGAACCAAAATTGATCCCAATGATTTGTAAAATAATAGATGGTGATTGCTACAGTGAAACCTCACCCAAATTCACTGTCAATACTACATTTTTGTATACTTTAATTTCAAGAGAAATACAAAAAACAGAAGAAATTAAACTTGTCAGTTATGAGTTGATTGAAGCTGATTAGCCCTTCAGGATGTGCCCTCTGATCCATACATATTGCAATGCAGTCAGGTTTCAGCATCTCTTGGGTTATGCTGTGATAAAATTATAGAATAATTCTCATCAGGTGTTATAAAATCCCTGTCAATGACTCCATTCTGGCACATAGTTTGCAGAAACGCAAATTTCACAGAGTCTCAAAAGAAAAAAAAAAAGTAGGCAATATTGGCAGTAATTAAACACACAAGGCTATAAAATCTATCCACAGCTTTAGTTTAACGGTAAACTCACATTGTGAGACACCGCCATGGGGATAATCTAGACCCAACCTTATCAGCAGTCATGCTTGGATCATCCCCATTGGGCTCCCTCTGTCCCCCAGCCTCCCACCTAGGTCAGTACCCAGCCGCCATCACTGTCCTAGTGGCAGATCATCTCACCCCGGCACCGTGGAATTAGCCTTTGCTTGGCCACCCTTCCACCAATTCTCTCTGCTCTCCAATGTCTCTTATGTGCGGCAACCAAAATACTGCATTGATTGCTCAAATAGAGATGAGCATTTTAACACACGAATCTTCAATTCAATTCCATCTAAATTTGAATTCAAATCTTTCCACAATCTGCTCCCTATCCCATTTTTATTATTGATTTTTTTTTTTTTTTTTGGAGACAGAAGCTGGCCTCACTTCTGTCACCCAGGCTGGAGTGCAGTGGCACAAACATGGTTTTCTGCAACCTCAACCTTCCAGGCTCAAGCAATTCTCCCACCTCAGCCTCCTCAGTAGCTGGGACCACAAGCGCAGGCCACCATCCCCAGCTTACTTTTTAAAAAATATTTTTGTAGAGATTGGGTCTCACCACGTTTTCCAGGCTGGTTTCAAACTCCTGGGCTCAAGCAATCTTCCTGCCTTGGCCCCGTCAAAGTGCTGGGATTACAGGCACCACCTCGCCCGGCCCCTATCCCATTTTTAGATGTGTCTTCCACCATGACTTTGCACAGCAGCTTGATAGAATTCTGTGTCTCTCCCTCCACACCCGGGGACTTCCCTCATTTTCCTCTTTTCTCCTGCCAATCTTTTCACTGCCCACGTTTCCCAGTCAAAAGCATACACAACCTTAAAAGTAAAGTTTTTAAATCCCCCTCTCTTTGAAGCCCTTTTTAAATAGGCTAATCAGAAGTTGTTTTCTGCTTCCATAAACACTGCAGAGCTTTCTCTGTATGTCCGACATGGTGGTCATTATTGGGTACACCCTTTTAGAAGCTGTGAGCATGTCCTATTGTCCTGGAGACTTTGCCATGACCCAGAAAAGAGGAAGTTGTTTTGTTTCTTGCACAGTCGTTAATATAGTGTTTTTTTCTCATTTATTTATTCAACAAATATGGAGGGAGCAACTTACGTGTCAGTCCTTGTTCTAAGAACTGAAGATACTACAATGGGCAACACAAAATCCCTGCTTTCTTGGATGTTACAGTTTAGTGCATATAGGTGTTCAGTGAACATTTTCTTTCTTTCCTTCCTTCCTTCCTTCCTTCCTTCCTTCCTTCCTTCCTTCCTTCCTTTTTTTCTTCCTTTCTTTCTGAGATGGAGTCTCGCTCTGTTGCCCAGGCTGGAGTGCAATGGCACGATCTCAGCTCACTGCAACCTCTGCCTCCCGGGTTCAAGTGATTCTCCTGCCTCAGCTTCCCGAGTAGCTGGAATTACAGGCACTTACCACCACGCCCGGCTAATTTTTGTATTTTTAGTAGAGACGGGGTTTCACCATGCTGGCCAGGCTGGTCTTGAACTCCCCACCTTAGGCAATCTGCCCACCTCAGCCTCCCAAAATGCTGGGTTACAGGCATGAGCCACCGTGCCTGGCCTCAGTAAACATTTTCAAAAATTTTTGAACCAAATATCTTTGTATTCCTCAAAGTATATACAACATATCAGAAATTACATGGGTAGTCAACAAAGATTTTTTTTTTAAGTAAGGGGTTTTATTGTTATATCTTTTATGGGTGCGTGAGAGTTGAGAATTCTAGGGCATAATGCTTGTTGATCTTTTAATTAAAATACAAGTGCAGATCTTCCAAATGCAGAAACTATTGTCACACAGAGATATACTGTCATTCCATCAGAAATATAAATAAATAAAGTAGAACTGAAGAGACAGCAATGACATCCAGTCCCTAAGAGCTATACATTGCTTTAAACAACATTCATTGGTTTAATTATTCAATCAGTAACTACTTACTGGGCACCTGCAGCCTGTTAGTCACTCTTCTAGGTGAGCACAGTAGACAAATGTGGGCTTCCCCAGTTGGGAGAGACAGATGATAAACTTCTAAGTATATGATTTTAAGTACTCTGACTTCCACAAAGAAACCTGAAGCATGGCAAGGAGAAACTGAACAATCAAGGAGGCCACTTTGTTTTAGATCAGGTGGTCAGGGAGACCTCTCTTAGGTGGTGATATTTGGACAGAGAACTGAAAGAAGTGAAGAAGTGGGGCGGGAAAAGGCCAGGGTAGAGCATTCCAGGCAGAACACGCGGCCAGTGCAGTGCTGAGGAGAGGACCAGCTCAGCAAGCTGTAGAAACATCCAGGTGGCCAGCATGGCTCTGTGGAGGGGGTGGGGTGGGCCAGCCCAAGCCAGGCCATGGAAGGGGTTTGAGGTGTAGGCAATGCTGTGTTTATTTTGGGGATGAAGGGAGAGGCTTTGGAAAGAGGAGTGATGTAATCTGCTTTATATTTTGAGGAAATCCCTTGGCTACTGGGTGGAAATTCAGCTGTGAGTTGGCAGATTATCATGATAGTCCAGGCAAAAAGGAGAACGCAGCTTGAAGGAATTTAAAGGTAGAAGAAATGGTCAGATTCTTAAAGTAGCATCACTAGGACATGCTGGTGGTTTGAATACAAGATGTGAAGGACAGAGAGGAATCAAGGACGACTCTGAGATTTCTGTTCTGTGCAGTGAGGGACGAGCGATGCTCAGTTTGAATGACCAAAATGTGAGATAGAAGTGGTTACAGGGAGGAAAATCCAGAAGGCCTCCTTCAGAGAGTTTAAATGTTGAGATACCTGTGAGTTTTGTAAAGGGATGTTGAGTAGGCAGCTGGATTTCAGGATCTGGATTTGAGCTCAGAGAAGAAATCATGGATAGAGATACGAATATGGAAGTCATCAGCATAGAGAGGGCATTTAATGCCTTGACCTAAATTAAATTATATAGAGAGGAATTAGAGAGAGGAAGGGAAGGGAAAGGAAGCAGAGAGGAAAGGAGAGGAGAAGAGAGGGGTAAGAATTAATCCCTGGAGTGGGCTGCAACATTTAGAGTCTAATTAGAGGGAAGAAGCTCACCAAAGACACTGAGAAGGAGAAGCCAGTGAGGCAGAGGGAAACCCAGAGAGTGAGGTGTGCACGGTCCAGGTGAAGGTGTTTCAGGAAGGGAAGTGTGATCTGTTGTGTCACAGCTGCTGAGAGAGTGAACATGAGGAAATCTAGAAACGTGGCCCATGTGTGGTGGCTCATGCCTGCAATCTTAGCACATAAAGAGACCCCCATCTCTGCAAAAAAATTAAAAATTAGCTGGACGTGGTGGTGCAGCACCTGTAGTCCAGCTACTCAGGAGGCTGAGGTGGGAGGATCACTCGAGCCCAGGAGTTTGAGGCCATGGTGAACTGTGATTGTGCCACTGCATGCCAGCCTAGGCCACAGAGTCAGTCCATGTCTCAAAAAAAAAAAAAAAAAAGAAAAGAAAGAAAGAAAATAAACAGAAAAAGAAGACTAGAAATGTGGAAGTCATCAGCCTCATTGACAAAAGCAGATTCAATGGAGTGGTGAAGAAGACCTGATCAGTGTGTGTTCAACAGAGACTGAAAGATGAGAGTGTCAGGTGAGTTGAAACAGCGCTAATCGAAGTGTGTACAGACCAGCTGCTTGTTTCTTGTCTACAGTGAGACAAGCACAGAAACTGAGAAGTTGCTGCAACATTCAAGGGGGTGATCAGTGGGCTCCATTCTCAGGAAGGGCGGTACAGGCAACTTTGTGTATCGTTCAACTCATGTGATAAGAAGCATGAGCAACAAGCTGTGTTTGAGGCAAGTACTGTAAGGACCTCACATCAAGCTGCAACAGATTGGAAAATGAAAAACTGATCTTTCAGCACAGTTAGTTTGAGAAGCACTAGTATACTCAATTCTTTCCAGTAGTTTTACTATTAAAAAGTATCAGAGGAATTGGATGGAAGAAGGAAGTGGTGACAAGATGGGAGGTGGTGGTTGTTAGTACGTTTTACAGTGGTAGGGATAACAGAGAGAAAACAGAATGTTGATATGCTGAGCTGGAAGAGGGGGAAGTTGAGGCTGAGATAAAATGCAAGGGCAGGACTGATGCAGTGGCTCACACCTGTATTTGCAGCACTTTGGGAGGCTGAGGCGGGGGGACTGTTTGAGCCCAGGAGTTCAAGACCAGCCCAGGCAACATAGTGAGACCCTGTTTCTATAAAAATAAATAAATAAAAATAAATACAAGGGCAAAGTCTTTAAGCAGATGGGAGATGTGGAATTCTGGACATGAATGGAGGTTTCAGCTTTCAACAGGAGCAAGGCCAGGGCTTCCATGGTCACAGTAGCGAAGGTCATGTGTATGGGTCTGGTGTGGGACCTGAGATTAAGGTTCCATATTGTGTTGCTGTGAACGGGATAAATTCAGAAGAGCCTCAAAGGGCTTACCTGCTAGTTCTCCCCCACCCATGAGCTGTCATGGATAAAGTCCCCTAGCCAAATGGCACTCCGCTCATAGGGACCAGGCACAGTGCCTGCTTACCCATGAGTAGTGGGCTTCGGTCTCCCGTCAGCCTGTGGAATCAGCCAAATAAGCCAATCACATCCTCCCTCAGGAACCAGGGGACACCCCACCCTCTTTTTTTTTTTTTTTTTGAGACAGTCTCACTCTGTCACCCAGGCTGGGGTGCAGTGGCACAATCTCAGCTCACTGCAACCTCCGCCTTCTGAGCTCAAGTGATTCTCCAGCCTCAGCCTCCCAAGTAGCTGGGACTACAGGCACATGCCACCACACCTAGCTAATTTTTGTAGTTTTTTAGTATAGATGGGGTTTCACCATGTTGGCCAGGCTGGTCTCAAACTCCTGACCTCAGGTGATCCACCCGCCTCGGCCTCCTGAAGTGCTGGGATTACAGGTGTGCACACACGGCCACCATCCCTTCTTGTTACTACAAGGTCTGCTTCCCGCAGCCCCTGCTAGTTCACTCTGTATGGCCTGCCCTGTCCTACTCCCCTGGGCTGTGGGAATACTTGAATGCAACACTGCTGTCAATTTTATCTGCCCAGGGTCATGTGTTCAACCACCCCTATAACTGAATCCCCCATCATCAGTGGGGTGAAAGGGAGGCAATAAAAACAGGAGTGGACGCTGATCACATGAAAAATTGAGTGTGTGGGTGTGTATTGGAGAGCAGGGAATAGTCCAAGTATTCACTTGATTCTTCGGTTTTCTCAGTAAATCATATGAGGTTATCGACTCAGAGTCTGGGAAAGGAAGGGGAGTTTGAGGTTTGGGGAGGTGAGAAAGGTGTGAAGTAGTCTTCCCACAGACACAGAAATCAACTAGGGCAGTGAGGTAGATTGAGGGCAGAGCTAAGAGCCCACTCGAGGTTTGTGGTCATGCATAATGAGACCAGTCAGAGCACAGTGTGTGCAGCGAGAGCTCCTTGGTCAAGTGCAGCTGCTCTGATGCAATGGCAGATAGGCTGGGGCTGTATAATCAGGTATATCACAAAGTCTATAGTCTCTGAGACATGGGTGAGTAGGTGTGAGCACCTGGTGAAACAGGTCAGAGGAAAAGCAAGTTGGCGTTGGAGTCAGCTGTCAAGAGATAGATCCGTGATGGTATCGAGATCACTACAGACAGGTGGTGGTCACCTAGTGTTGTCTGCTGAAATTTGGAGGGTTTAATTTTTAATCCAAATACCATAGAAATGGATATGAAAAGATGGGTGACACATGCTGCACGTTGGGAAGTGGGGATGACCAGGTGCTTAGTTGCATGGGAGAGGCCACAAGTGCTTGGCAATGTTTTCGTGACTGAGCCTCTCATCTCAGGAATGAGCTGAGATTCCAGAAATGCTGGGATGAAAACAAACCAACCCTGAGACTCCCAAATTGTTCTCATATTGCCACATTTTTTCCCACATCTTCCTTCAGAAAAGCTTAAGAAAGCCATGTTTGCTATCTGGCTCCTCTTAACTCTCCCCATAACTTACATTTCCAGTTTTCCAGATAAGCATGGCCATTTGTGTTAGGTCATTCTTGCATTGCTATAAAGAAATACCAGAGACTGGGTAATTTATAAAGAAAGGCGGTTTCATTGGCTCACAGTTCTGCAGGCTTTACAGGAAGCCTGGTGCTGGCATCTACTCAGCTTCTAAGAAAGCCTCAAGAAGCTTACACTCATGAAGGAAGGTGAGAGGGGAGTAGGCAGGTCATAGGGTGAAAGCAGGAACAAGAGAGACAGGGAGTAGGTGGGGGAGGTGCCACACACTTTTAGATGACCAGATCTTAAGAGAACTCCCTATCATGAAGCACAGCGCCACGCCATGAAGGATCCCTCCTAATGGATGGCGCCAAGCCGTGATCCAAACGTCTCCCACCAGGCCCCACCTCCAGCACTGGGAATTACAACTGGACATGAGATTTGGGCAGGGAAAAATATCCAAGCTATATCACCACTCTAAATAGTATGTGCACTCAGAAACCAGCTGACCTATCTGGGGCTCATTCATCCAGGAAGACAGCCTGGAAGTCAAGTGCAGGAGTTCTGGAATTAGACTGCCCGGGTTCAAATCCTGCTTCCACCCCGGCTCAATGTATGCCTTCTCTAGGAAAGGCATTCACCTTTGTAAGTCTTGAATTTCCGCAAGTGTAAAGTGGAAATAATACCAACAGGCACCTCAAAGACTTGTTTGTCAATTAAATGGGATGGTAGAAAAAAGCACTTAGCACAGTTTCTGGCACACAATAAGAGCTCAATGAATATTAGCAATTACTATAAACAGGTTCATTCACCACTCCATAAACAGGTGATTCTGTCAGTATTACCATAGTATGAAATTCAGGCTGCTTAGGCCACAGACAAGAAGACAAATATCTTTAAATTTCTCTGTAGTCAGACTCTCCATGGGATCCCTGGCCAAGGTTTGTGAGGTGGCTGATTGGACAGGATGAAGGCAATTGTCACGACAGGGGACCAACCAGTGGACCCAGATGGTGACTTCATTAGAACAGTATTCCAACCAGCACCACGCAGTGTGTATCCTGCAGAGGGGCCAACCAGGCAATAAACCGAGTTCCACCACCTTGCAGCCAGCAGCCGAGGGAAGCTCTGAGCTCTGAGAGAACTGGTCTATTTTCATCACATTTGGACAATGGACACACTCCACAGAAGGCAAATGTCCTTTCTCAGAAGACATATATCACATATGAGTAGCTGGCTTGAACCTTAACTCAGTGTGAGAGAGTAATAAGAATATCACCATAGCGTGGCACAGGTATGCACACACACACAGGCACACACAGGCATAGCTTATTCTTATTTATTACAAGAGCTTTCAGTCAGGCTGAAATGTCTAGGCAGTATTTTCTAAACTCTTTAAGACGCATGTCCCATGGACACTTCCGGTAAAATGATTCAGCTTCAATAAGATTCAGACGCTTACTAACAAAACTAATTTGGGTGTTTTTTCAGAAAAGCTCAAACTGATACAAAACTCACAATTTCAGCCTCCAATTAG
Organism: Homo sapiens; assembly: GCF_000001405.40. Lineage (NCBI taxonomy): Eukaryota > Metazoa > Chordata > Mammalia > Primates > Hominidae > Homo > Homo sapiens. The sequence goes on from NW_025791814.1 coordinate 971,200, forward strand.
CAATTTCAAAAATATTTTGATTCTGATATTTTGGCATTGAGAAAATTGGTAGTCAGTTCAGGACAAATGAAATAGAGTGTACTTAAAAACAGATGCATGATTTAAATTTGAGAGTTGGGGAAAGATTCTATCCTGTAATATGAATGTAATATAACTGTCATCTGGTCTCCAATTTTACTCTTCCCAACAGAATGCAATCTCATGAAATAGTTGCACCTCTGAAGTGGGTAAGAGTTAATTAACCTGTCTCTTACTTATCTAACTTAAGTAAGCGAAATGGCTGACATGGAAAAGTAAATGAATTTTCCATTTATACACCGATTTTTAAAAACCGATCTTTCACTTTCCCAAAACAACTCTTTAAAGAAAATTTAACATAATCATTTTCAGCTTGAAAACTTCAAATGAATGAATGTGGCTTGATTTGGGAGAAGATTTAAAGACTGTGACACCAGACAACCTGGGCTCAAAGTGCTATTCTCAAATCACAGTTGCCACCTGACCAGGGCCTGATAGTCAACATTTCCAAACCCTGGTTTTGCAATCTGTAAAACTGAAATTAAAAATACCCATTTGACTGAGAATGAACAGAGGCGTAGTCCTCAGTCTGTCATTCAACAATTGTGTGACCATGAGCACATTGTCTAACCATGCCTTCTTTACGATGGTCATAATAACAATATTCACATCTAGTAATAAATCATAAATTCAAGCTATTGTTTTTATGATCATTACTATTGTAGCTAATAAACATAACGAGTGCGAATCAAATGGTCACTCAAGTGTCCACACACTTTAGATGCCCAATACATACGAGTTTCCTTTTACCCTCATTCTTTTTTAGGGAAATAATTACAAGGAGGATATCTTTCTTCAAAGCAAACCAAGAGATTTTCATTTCTATGAAGGAGATTACACAATATTCGAAGGGGTATGTGACAATCTATGCAGATAATTACTCTCTCTATGAGTAATTCTTGTGGCCCAGGGGTTCTTAGGATGCGGGAAGCTGGAATGGTAATATATGGTATCATCGTGTGACCTGCTCTTGAACGCAAGAGGCTATCGTTTCCAGCCAGATCAAAACACAGGCAAATTCTGATTTAAAAAACTGCACATATTCTACATGCTCTTATTTCTTGTATCCAGACTACCCCATTAAGCTAATATAAAGGGAGAAAAAGTGATAGGGTGCAAGGAAAAATTCAATCACTGCTAAGCTCATCAAACTACACAATGAGCCATGGTAATCTGCAGCCTTAGAGAAGAAGCCCATCAATGACAACACCACCATCGATATTTTCTACTCACATTCTTTCCTATGCAGTCCCAATTTTCTTACATTAGGAAGCATTTCATCAACATTTTAAGTTAACGAACCTCACCTCAAAAAATCACCCAGTCTAAAGTACACGGCATGCAAGAGCAAACCTAAACTGTGTTATCAGAAAACAAAACCAGATGATGTCGTGCCTTTTTAAGGAAATATAAACCTAAAATAAACCGAGAACACCCCTCCCGGGGCCATCACATACACAAGAGGCAGAGACTTAGGCAACACTCAGAAGGGAAAGGAAGGCAAACAGCGAAAAGTCTCTCAGAGAAAAAGATTTCATGGACTTTGGAGCCACTACAGCTGTCTCTGCACTCTCCTCTTCAAGCGTTTCTCCACATCTAGTATCTTCAAATCATTAGTGCTTTCTAGCTACGGTTTCAATATTTCCCAGAGGTCTCTCCAGTCCAGCCTTTGCCTGAGAGAACAGGTTACAAAAATATCCCCTCTCCCTTTTACCAGGCAACAAAGAGAATTTGCAGTGCTTTGAAAACAGAAATCCACATCCACAGGAAAAACAGGCCTCCGCCAGCCGCAGAAAAGGGTGCTTCAGGCACAGGGCAACCAGGCGAGAGAAAATGCATTCAGAGCGGTTAGCACACAGGATTAATCACATTATAATTTAATCATCTGATCAAACACTAATTAGCATAATTGCTTGAGGGAGAAATGGCTGGAGGAACCCAGGAACACCCTGAGCATCCATGTTCTTAATGACAAAAGAGGGAACACAGATTTGGCTTCCCTTTCTTCATAAGAAAAGAAAGAAAATAGCAAATAAAGTTAATCAATGACAAGCATCACCAGCTATGGTTTTAGCAGCCAAAGGAATTGCAACTGAGATTCATGACATTTTCCTTCCTCCTCTCTCTCCAGGACCACTCTAAAATCCATGGAAAAAACGCAGTACTGATGTTACGGTAACTAGACTCTGAGCTATTTAAGTCTGTGTTCTCAACCTTGGCACAATGAAGATGTTGAACTGGATCATTCTTTGTCGTGGGGAGCTGTCCTGTGCATTACAGGGTGTTGAGCATCTTATAGTGAGTGTCCCCTCCAGATGCCAGTAGCAACCCCCAACCAGATGTGTGACAACCAAAAATGTCTCCAGACATTGCTCACTGTCCTCTGTGGGTGCAAAATTGCCCTCCGTTAAGAACCACTGAAGAACACAGCTTGTCCGGTGCATACTTCTTTTAAAAGTAACCAAGTCATAAAAATAGGGGAGGAGTCTTTTTATTTCCATTTGCCAAAAAATAATGAGCCTAAAATAATAGTTGCCCAGTTTGGGAGGCCGAGGCGGGCGGATCACGAGGTCAGGAGATCAAGACCATCCTGGCTAACATGGTGAAACCCCGTCTCTACTAAAAATACAAAAATTAGCCGGGCATGGTGGCGGGTGCCTGTAGTCCCAGCTACTCGCCAGGCTGAGGCAGGAGAACGGCATGAACCCGGGAGGCTGAGCTTGCAGTGAGCAGAGATCACGCCACTGCACTCCAGCCTGGGCGACAGAGTGAGACTCTGTCTCCAAAATAATAATAATAATAAAATAATAATAATAATAATAATAATAATAATAATAATAATAATAGTTGCCCAGTTCCATGGATTTACCTTATTTCTCATGGCTCTATTTAGAGCTTTACAATAACCCATAATGCCTATGCCTGTGCACTTCAGAAAAAAATAATTAAATACCAGCCTCCTCCATCAAAGACCTTTAGGGAGACACTTCCAGGAGCACCTTTGAATAGGGACACTCACAGGCTCAGAGAACTCCAACCCTTGCTTCTAGACTTCAGTGTGCCCTGAGCAGGCAAGAGGTCACAGCAATGTCTTCCACCTACCCAGGAGAGAGCAAACCACCAGTGACTTTGAAAATGAATAAACCCAGAGAAGGCCTCCAGACCCCCCAGGAAAATACAGCTTTCTCCCTCCACTCTCACTGAGCACATGTAAGCTCTAATATTTGCTCCCAGTTTCTAAAGAGGGAGAGAGAAAGGTGAACAAGATGGAGAGAGGTGAAATGCCGACTGCTCCTCCATTTCTTGCAAATGTATCTCCACCACAATCGACTCATTGCATAAACTTAACCTGCCTTGGCCACCAGTCAGGCTGGACCTAACAATATTCACTCTTATCAAGAGATGCTAGAGACCCCAGGGAAAAATACTCAACACTTATTGCTGCAGGAAAGAAATATTTTCTATGGGTTAAGGTGATTTGTTCTAATAATAATACTGAGTCACATTATCTCTCATTTTTATTTTTTTTATGAAGAAAGTGTTTCACCATTTACAATTACTCATGAGTCTAACACAGGTTATTAAATCTGATGATGGAAATATTTATGCCCTTTCCGTGGCAGAAAGATGGGAAAAGATTGACCTACTCTACTACAAAATTTAAAAGAGAACAGTCTGTGCTATACCATGTAGGTTGTGAAAACTCCAAATCAGAGAGGAACTGTGAGCTATTTTAAACTGAAATCTTCTTCTGCAATTCCCCTGTCAGAGCTTGTGACTTCTTAATATAATGCCCCCACCCCCTTTTAAAGGAACATGAGTATAGGAAACTATTATTGTAAAGAGACAGTCTACCCTAATTCCTGTAGTGATGAGTAAGCAGAATTCACATTTATTCAGCCTACAATGGCTTTTATACCATTTCCTTCTAAAGCTAAATTTCAAAACGGCCACTCAAAAAGGTAATTTCTATAGTGAATCACAATAAAATCACCAAAGGATTATAACATCAAACTTGTTTAAGATGCCTAGGAGGGAAAGTTATTTTTAATATTATCTAAAATAAGATCTCAGGACACAAAAAGGTATTTTTAAGGTTCTGAATTTAGGCCTCTCTCCAGCACACATTTGAGTCTATTTTAGTGCCAAAATCAAGGACACGATGTTTTGAAAAAATTAATCTGCCACCAATAACTGCCCTCTATTTTGTCATATATGTAACAAGGTTTAAAATGCACATATGCCCTTATATGCCAGCTTCTCTCTTTTTTCTGACAACTTAGGATAATGACATATACTTTGTATGGTAAATACAGTCAACTTGTGATTATTTACCTAAAAGAAAGCCAAGAACATCCAACAGAGCAAATGACCCAAAGCCCTTCAGATCTGGCTCTGGAATGAGCTTGTGCCCTGGACAAAGGAATGTGCAGCATCCCAAGGCGGCATCAAAGCAAAACCTCTAGCTGCAAACAGATCCACTCTCCTGCCCTGTCTCAGCCCGTTCTAGCTCATCTCTTAAGCTTGTTCAGTAGAGTTACCCAAATGGTTTCCCACTATGGATCTCTTGCCTGGAGCTTCATGGTTACAGGCAGGTTTCAAAGGGCTTCTCTGCTGGGACTCCAGCTGCTATCGAAGAAGGGACCAATGTGAGAAATACAATGGAATCAAGACCATAAGCAAAGCACAAGCATTTATAAACCTGAATATCAAATACGCTAACAGGAAGAAAAAATGGTGCAAAGAGATAGATATTAATACACACAGATGATTCGTAAGCTGCTAGCATCCACATTGGGAGTGCCTCTGGCAGGATCTACATACCCCTCTACTCAGAATCTTTCTTGTTACTAAACCCCAGCACCAATTATCCCGAAAGATGCCCAAATTCTTATGGTGGTCAGTGAAGACCTAACCCTGTATACAGACATTCCCAATAAATTACTACCCAATACAGAGTTCTCCAACAGTTCATCGAGATGTACTTGGAACTTTACTGGATCAACTTCCTAGCTACTGTTTGGGTAGCTTCTTTGCAAGTGTGTGTTTTGCAAAGGTGAATTATGGTTCATGTGGATCAGAACAGGCAAAGGCATGCGTTAATAATGCAAATTCACAGGTCGTGCATACACCAAGGCTACAGAATCAGACTCTCTGGTATCAGAGCTGGAAGACGACATAACAAACATGGAAACCATAACTTGGGAGACCCCAGTGGTGGTGGGAAAAACAAGACAAAGTCACATGGGATTAGAAACACCTGGGGAGCTTTCCAAACTACAGCCCATTCCCCACAACGCTGGCATCAGAATTTCCAACAGGAGGCTAATGAGAGGAAATGCATTTCAGGAAACTTCCATATCTCCTTTCTCTGTTCTCCCTGACCCAGAACACCGGGGTGTTGAGAACCAGTGTCCTCGATCCTTACCTGGGAAGGCCCACATAGAAGGATACTAACTAATGTTCAGCTTGAAGTGTCAACAGACTGTGGTCTACCTCTTATCCTGATGTAAGGGTGGAGGGGATGTGTGGCTATGGGGCTGGCACAGCCTCTTCCTCCATATTCAGTGTTCCCATGAACATTTGCCTCCGCTGCCTCCAAGCATCTAATCCCACAGAAGCCTACAGCATATTCTATATTCTTACTCTCCCATCCTCAGCAATGGGGCGGTAGAGGTATGGGGGAGAGTGTGGGGCCCCTCGTGCCTGTGATTAATAAAGGCTGATGATGTGAGATCCCCCAAGACACAAATAAACCAACCACTGATGAGAGTTCCTTGCCCAAAACAAATACCTAGATCACCTCGAGGTCCACATTTTTCTACCCAGATTTCTATACAAATATTCAATGAAGCCTATTCTAAAACAGTAGCCACCAAGGATTTAATAGCTATTGATTTGGGTGAGTCATAACAGACACATCTGGTAATTAACCATCCTACCCACATTCTGCTGTCACGTTAAGGACCCGGATAGAGGTTGCTAACTTGGGCTGCCAACTTAAACAACTTGTGAAAGGAGGATTCTGTCTGTTAGACAGCATTCCACATTTCTTGTGCATTTCCTTTTCACTAGCCAACGAAATAGACAAGTGACTAGCCTTTGCAGGAACTGACAAGAACTAGATCCGGCAGGAGTGATAAAGTAGTCATGGTTCCCGTTTTGCTGGTAGAGGCCATTGTTGTCATTGTTGGGTGTCTTCAGCTCATTCCTAAAGTCTCACAGGTAATATTCCAAAGCATTGTTATTTCTACCCTGCAAGCTACATATCAGTTATTAAAAATGCTCTACAGCCGAGATTAAAAAATAAACATGGCAATTAAGCAGACTGGGACTTGGATTTTCTGTATCTCTATGGAACCCAAGATCAAATCACACCACAGCGGGGCTAACTGTGAAAAGAATTGAATCTTGAGTTTCTCTCGTGAGAAAGTATATTTCCTTAAAGTAATAAGTTTCCTTATTATATAGGAAATATAGCTGTCTTTTGTATTTAAAAAAATAAATTAAATTAAAATATACATAGAATTGCAGCAGTTCTAATTATCTTTCTACTTGTCTTTCTCTTATGATACAATCACAGAAATGTTCCCATCATCCAGCAGTTCATGCTTATGAGAAGAATCAATGCTTTACTCAATATTAGGAAGATTAATCAATGGTAAGAGAGTCCACTGCAATCACCCACCTGAAGTGGCATGGATGGCTCTTCAGTATACGGCATGGGCTACCTCCCAACAGCCCCCCTCAGCCCCTGTGACCCATTCACGCTGGTCCTAACACCAGCTTCTACCTGATCATTGTGGTGACTCCATGATAATGCTGAAGCCACTTTGGGACCCTCAGGTCATCAAGGTCAACACTGGGAGTGGTATCACCATACTGCTGTTTTGCAGAAGCATCCAATAATGAGAAAGTTGGGATATTTAGAAAGAACTATAAGCTGGCTTTTACTGTTTTATTTTCAGTGTGAAAAAAGTGTAAATTTTATGTAAAACCAGACTTAAAACTGTTTCCTGTTTCTTCATTTTAATACTAAAAGAGTCAAGGCTTGTATGAATCAAAATCAGTAATTAAATAGTTCAAATTTCTTTCCATCACCTTATCAAAATGCCAATTTCATAGTCTGGAGAGACTAGCGACAAAATGATCCATTTTATAGATGGTTCTTTATAAGACAAAAGGCAAACACTTTCCACAGCATCATCTTCTAGGGCAGGTCTGATTTTGTCCAGATTTCCAACCTGTAAATCAGCAGTATTTGCATAAAAATTCAACGATTCTACTATTAATAAAACCCAAAGCCCACTTGGAACCAGGAAAACCAGAATGCTATAAGTAACAAATACAGGCCTAGAAAGGAAAACTATTTCATTTCTTTTTTTATGCTAAATTGTATATACTTAAGGAACCTGGGGGACATTAGCTAAGTGATATATGCCAGACACACACATACAAAATCCATGATCTCACTTATATATGGAATCTTATAAAGACTATTTCATTTATAAGAGCATGTGGCATTCTTTTTCCCTTGTCCAATAACATTTGTGTCAATCACAAAGCCTGGGGTGATATTGTCTGCCCGACACAGACTGACAAATAAGGACTTCATATATTGCAATTTAAAACCCCAGAGTTTGAGAACAGGTTAACATGGAGGGACTTGTGATAATCACAGGATCCTAAATTTGAACTCTTCTCTCAGTAATTGCTTTATTACTGAGATGTATGCAGATTTCACCCTCCTACTATTCTGCCGTGAAACATCTTTAAGAAAGGCAAGGCTTATTGCAGAATAAATATTTGTAGCAGTGCTGCAAGTTCAATGTCCTCCCTTCACCTCCAGTCTTTTGTTCAGACCTACTCAAGCTGTTTCCAGATAATATATATATTGCCTTCTCATCCCCAGCTTCCCAAGCCTAACATAGACTTAAAGACTGAGAGCACTTCTAGAATATTCTGCAGAGAGTCCAAAGAGATTTCATAATATTTCTGCAAGGGTTGGTATGCTTTTTTTTTTGTTTTTTTCTCCTACAAAATGCTGTACAGAGCTGGGACGTTAGGGGAAGCTAGCATTTAGTATGGAGGTGATCTCTTGCATTTTCAATTCTTTCTTTCACTGTCTTTGCGGCTGCACTTAAAAACAGCTTTCTATAAATAGGACTGCTTGCTCACTCTTAAATCTTACTCACTGTCTTCTCAGTAAAAAAAATAACTAGGGATACAGGCAAGATTCATTAATCCCTGTCATTCTAACTCTCTGTGTAGTAGCCTCTTTCCTTCTTCATATCTTGACATATATCTTCTCAATCCCATTCATCCCTCTCTGTTAAACCATAATATGTATTTACATAATCCAGGGGGCTTCAAGATCAAAAATTAATCCAGTTGCATGATTTTTAAAAAATCAGCGTTGATCACATAGAACAAATAGAGATGTCCAAAAATCAAAAGCTGATAAATATTGTAAGCTATAAGACACTTAATTTGATTTTTATATTTGGACAAAAATCAACTTTAACAATGATTAAGATATCCTTTCATGTTACTTTGATGAAGATAGCAACTGTCATATTTGAATCTGCAAAATAAGAAATAAAGATAATGACAAAAAACCCATAAATCCATAGGATGCTGAAGAAAACAGTAGTATGACTTTTTAAAGATGAATTAAGGCCTGAGAAAGTAAGCTTTGTTTTGATGTCCTGGGTGGCTCTTTGATGAAGAAATGAATTCCCAAGAGCTGGGGGTGGCGGAGTGGGCGGGGAACCTAAATGTCGGTTTGATGTTTCTGGCTGGCTTTCAAAATGCGACAGGGCAATAAACACTGTATAGGAATTTTAAATCATGCCATTTAGCAGCGTACACTTGAGAACAAGGGGTCCAGCACATGGATGAAATTATTGTCTGTGACACTTGACCCACTGCACGGCAGGAAGAGCACCTAAAGCAATTACATAGCTGTTGTGCAACAGTGATGAAGTCCCATCAGATACTCGAAATATGAATCTCTTTTTGAAAAGAGAAGAAAATGCCCCAAGCCACAGGCGTTTCTGGAAAATAAACATTTCTACCGTGATTGAGTCACTACGACAGAAAAAGGTGGGTAGAGCAAAAGAGTCCAGTGGTTTAGTCAGAATGCAAGATAGGGACCAGGAGAGCAAGTCCAGGAAAGCAAACTAAGAGGGGGAGCCAATCAGCTAGAGGCAGAAGAGAGAGGTGGACGGGAGGGAGGAAGGTGGACAGGAGTTAAGGAGGGGAGAAAGGCTCTGCCTATCACTTTTTCCTTTCACTCCGTAAGGAACATCATCTATTTCCACTACTCCATACCATGTGCTCTGCTCTGTGCTAAGGACACGCTCAGGCTTCGCACGCATTTCAGACTATGGAGGCTCCTGTCTAGCTAGTGAGAGAGGCAGTCACTAGCCAAATCAGCATCACCTAAATGCAGGCGTAACGATTACCACAGACTCCATCAAGGAAACAGCCAAGATTTTTAGAAAAAGGATAATATGGAGGGAACTGATTTTCAGGAGCAGATTTGTGAAACCCAACCCTTCTGAACGTCCTGGTCAGAAGCTGTCTGACCTCTGAACCAAAATCCTGTCCCTGCTTCCCTCCTGCCACCTTGACAGACCTTGCGTCACCTGCAGAAAACATCCGTGTGCTCCACCCTTTGAATTCAGAACGACATAGTGGATACTCCGTGGGGCTGCTGGAATCTTCCATTCCCACTGCCTTATCTTAACCCATAGATTCGGCAAGGGAAATGCAACTTTGAATTTTCTGGCATTTTCACAACATTGAAGAAAAGAACATAAATATAGTTGGGGGGAGGGGCGCGGAGAGATAAGATGAGCATTTTTGTGCCCAGGTCTTTGGAACTTGAAGAGTTAACCCCCCAGTCCAGGGGAACAGGTGTTTTCCAGTGGGCCTGGGGGAGAGGGAAGGGGGCTCCCGGTCCCGGAGCCTTGCCTGCGGAGATTGATGGACTGCGGAGGAGCGGGCACGTCAGCATCACCCCTGTCACCATCAGCAGGAGAAGCGGCGGCTCCTGGAATGACATTGGAAGGTCAGCCAATCAGGCGCGGAGCTGCTCCCGGAGCTGCCACCTCCGAGGCGCGCGCCACGCCGGGGTTCCCTCGCGGCTTTGGAAAGGGGGTGCAAATGCACCCTTCTGCGGGCCCGCTACCCGCTGCAACACCTGTGTTTCCTTTCTGGGCACCTTCTAGGTTTCTAGATATTGCTGTGAATACGGTCCTCCGCTGTACAGTTGAAAACAAAGGCTGCTGGACCTCGCCTGACCTGCGGTTGCCTTTGCCCGGTTCCTGTTAGACGAACTCTACGACGCCGGAGTTTGGGCGCAGTGAACTTGAGAGATCGTGGGGGAGGCGTCTTCAGAAGAAAGCCCCTGACCATCTGCATGGAGCAGTCCTCCCTCGGTGGCGGCTGGGTTTGCTGGCTCTGCTGAAGGCTGGCTGCAAGAGTCTTGTGAGGTTTGCCGCCCACTAGTGTCCTATGGCGGGGACACAATCGGCCTGCAGGTAGCACCACCTCCCTATCTCCCAGGCTGAGGGTGCGGGCACCAAGGCCCAGCGTGCACTTCAGCGCAGCAGCCAAGAAAATGCCCACACGCGCTTGTTTGTGTGGGCACACCCCTGGGTGCCTGCCCTGCTCTGGAGAGGTGGGCCACGCATGGAAACCGAGGAAATCGAAGTGCTCATTTCCGAAATACTATTGAATGCACTGCCTAATGCAAAATACATTCTTTTTCACTACCTATTAATTATTTATGAGCCACATTCATAATCTTACCCGTAGAATTCAGCTAATTTTACGAAACCTGGATGCCACATTTTGTAAATGCATCCACTTGATAAACCCATCCTTTTATTTTGCAAACATAAATTTCCAATCTACAGTGTTCACAGGTCTTTCTTTATAAAATGACCTCTCTCTCTCCCTCTCTCAATCAAGTTTTAATACGCATTGAATTGAGTCTCTTGTCGAAATACTCCGTGCACCTTACTCCAGACACATCTAACATAAAATACCTTGCCAGCTACCCGGAGGTCCAGGAATTGGGGATTAGAATTGGCAAATATTTTAGTCAAAATTAGTTCCCCTACCAGAATGCTGTATTGCGCTGGTTCTGCCCCCCGTGACTCACTGATCCCCCGAGGCAGCAAACCGTGGTCACACCAAAATGACAAAGGAGAGAGTCAAAAAGTGGAGAACGATCCACTGGCATTTATTGAAGGTCTGCGTGGCATTTTGTTTTCCTACAGAGGGCATCTTGGAGGGGCATGCAGCTTAAGTTAAAAGGCCTCGGAATTTAGGTGAACCCTGAGATTATGGATAGCTTTTTAATCTGTTTAATAAAGATGGGGGAGAAAGGGAAGTGGAGGCAGCCCTGAAATTGTTCACCTGATAACATTTCTTCCTTACATACATTTATGTGAATTAAATAAAAATCACCTTTGAAGTCCTTAAGGTGCATTTGTATTTACAAAGGTCTGCTTCTAATTAAATAAAATAGCAAGCGTGTGCTCTGTAATTTCCTATCAAGTGAATGGATGAAGCTCAAAGGTGCTGCATACTCATCTTCTCTTTAATGAGCACCTTCTTACTCCCAGCACCCCACCGTCTCTAATCTCCATGACCCTCAGGCCCCATGAAAGCGGATGCAGTAGAACTGAAAATCCCACAGCTCAGGAAAAGATGATGTCAGGAATGCATGCATGTGTGTGTGTGTGTGTGTGTGTGTGTGTGTGTGTGTGTGTAAAAACAGAGATGCCAGGATACTAGCAAAACTATATTACATATAATAAATCTAATTCTTCATCATTCTGTTTGTCTGAAGGCCTGGCTCTTCTTTTAGCAATAATTTTAAACTAGAATGTGCTCTGGGGTTAAAACCAGGAGAAATGGTAATGAAACACAATGCAGTAGGAAGCTTTGCTGAGAAGACACCGAGGGACGTGTGTGGGTGAGTGTCTGCACATACGTGTACCTTGGCTCCTTGCACTGTAACAGAAGCTCGCGTGTATTTCCAGAACATTGCAGAACAAATTGACTGCTTTAAAACACGATACTGCACCTCATCAGGTGAGGTCATTCATTTAAGGGTTTAACCTATGAAGGGCCTGGTCACTGACTTCTTCTTTTTTTTTTTTTTTTTTTCAAAAATACTGCCTGCAGCCTGTCTAGCAACCATACTTTTATTAAGAAATAACTGTACTTCTGATACATCAATAAGAAAAATATTGTTGTCTACTGTTAAAATGCAGATGTATTGTGGGCTTATTTTAATAGCCCCAAATATTAAACTACATAATCTTTTACAAATGAAAAAAAAAAGTTATCATGTCAGGCATTTTGATGCTTGAGGCCTAGCAATAATCAGTTTAGGTATTAGAATTCATCAATCTTTTATCACACACATTCAGAAATTTTTCAAAGTTGAGGTATAACAAAATATGACAGTTGTTGACAAAAATATTCTCAATTTTTTAAAGTTTAATTCAGATAGGTAGAAACCATTTACTCTTATATTTTTGAAATATGGTCTTACAAACAGGCATAGTTCCAAACTGGATTCTTATTTTATTTCAACATGTCTATATATTTTATGATCCTTTCCCCAGTATGTAATGAACACCATACCTTAGAAAACTGTTTAAAGCTGATTTCCCCTCCCCCCTTCAAAGATCCTAAAGCTTTACAGCAGGCTTTTAATGTTTTCATCCTTGATCATATAAAGAGAGGGGCATTTTTATACAAGACAGTTCCATAGCCTTCTGCTAGATTGGATCAGAATACGTAATACAGCAATGTAAAATATTCATTTGTGTTTGCTGTTTATGTCTAATATTGTGGAATCTACCTATATTTATTACAATAATGGTGATTATCAGTTGATTTTAAAAGTCTTGAAAATAATACTTGCAGAACTCACTATATGAGTACCTACATAATTTTTGCATATATTTTTCATATTGCAGAATATTTGAGGTTTCATATAATTGTATTACCATATATAATTATTTCTATGATTGTTTATTTTAGTTATAAAATGCTGATTCAGAAAAAAAGTCACACACACATATAGCATCTCTGTATCAGAGGCTAATAGTCTGTATCAGTATCATAAATTCTTCCATACCATTTTGTCATACAAAATGCTAAAACTGTAAATAAATACTGGCTGACTGACAACCAGCACAGCCTCTTTCATCATCCTGAAACACACACTTCCCAATGGGGTGCAAATTTTGTTTCTTCTTATAACCCAGGCCTTTCCAAGGAGTTCAGAAAGGTACTCCCTGACAGGCGAAACAGGGTGTCAAGGCTCTGTGTCTTTGGAACACATGTGTAGGCATCTCTACATTTCTTAGGAGGTCGCATTAGCAGAAGAGCAGAAAGGGCTGACTTCCCCGACACATCTCCGCATGTTCCCTAAGCACATCTGTCCCTGAAGGGAAATTCCCAGGAGGACACAGGACAGGTATGGTGCCCTCTGGGAAAGATGGGTGTCTTGTCAGAACTTGTTGCAATTCTTTCCTGCTAGGAAATCTCAAAATGAAAGTTTCAAACACTTTGCTTTAGGTTATACTGGAGAGCAAAGTATCATTTTCATGTTCATTTTGATAGTACCTTCTTTCAACTCTACCTTTTCTTAGTCACCGTTTTTTTAAAAAATTGACAATGCTCATGCATTTCTTCTGGCCTGTTGGTATGCTGATTCTTTAGGCACTGTCTAGGTAGGCAAAGAAAATGCACTGCCTTGCAGCCAACACACAGAGCTTCCCTGTGTGTCTTCCAGGAAAATCTTAGAGCCTCCCCTTTGCTTCTCGTATTTTCTCACAAGGGCCAGATTTCCTCTCTTCTCTTCTTTTACCTTCTCTTCTTCTCCTCTCTCTCTCTCTCTCTCTCTCTCTCTCTGTCTCTGTGTCTGTCTCGCTCTCTCTCCCTCCTCTCTTTCTCTCTCTCTCTCTCCTCTCTTCTGGCTAGGGGATTCTGCTTAATGGTTTAATTTCAACTGTCAGTAGGTTATACATTTTATGCAGATGTGTGTTCCAAAATTTGAAATGGGAATTTAAGCCGTAGCTACTCCCAGGCGATGTCAAATGATGACAATTTCCTCTGGTTCCCACAAGAGAGGAAGCCATTCATACATGTAAGTTCATATTTATGCGGTGACAGGCAGCCTAAGGTGCAGTCACACTTACTAATTGGGTCTGACTCAGTCAAGAGCAATAGCTTTCTAAATACCCAGGAAGAAATCATTTCAAAATATAATATTGGCTGGGCATGAGGAAATGTATGCTATTTACAATATTCACTGATTTCATTTTTACAACTATACAGGTGTTTTTTTTTTTTTAATTTGTCAACATTTCAGATGATGTAATGCTTATCAGTGCATATTTTTACATAAACGACTGTGAGGAGCATGAAGCAGCACGGGGTGCATAGAAGGACAGAACATTCTTAAAGCCCTCCTTGGTGCTGGAGATACATTGTACTAGCATGAAATTACGTGTTTGAAAAATCTCAAAAAGCATTGAATCTGAAGGGAGATGTTCCTCATTGACCCCTCCACTTGCGTGCACTTGGAATGTCACATCCCTTTCCAGGTTGTAATATTCAAAGTGGCAATCTTCCTGTCTCTCCTTCTGTCACCAAACCTGGTTTATTCTGAATGAGGCAGCTCTCTAGTACTGGAGTTAGGCTCTGAGCTGTCACTTGGCTAGGTAAGCGCCTTCCAATGATTACAGAGCAATTTCTCCCGGGCCTCTCCATTGCCACCTCTTCTCCCCCAAAAAATAAATATGATATTTAAAAAATAAATAAAAGCACGAAATTTTAAACACAGATGAAGCGGAAAAAGAAAGAAGACTTTACCCATGCATCCAATGCCACCCCCCACCCCCCCGCCCCCCCGGTCAATGATAAGGAAACGAAATTCATCACAAACCGAAAGGCTCACCATTCGCGAAGCTCTGGAACAAGGAGAGAGCCAGTATCCACATGCCCCTGCCGCTCCCCGGCCTCCCGCGAGCGACGCGCCGGCCTCGCCCCCCGCGCTCCGCCCGGCCCGGCTCCGCTCGCCGCTCGGCACCTGCCCGGGGGCCGCCGCCCGCCCGCCGCCCGCCGCCGCCGCCGCCGCTGCCTAGCCGCCCGGGCACGCGGCGCGGCCGGGCTCCGGAGCGAGGGCTGCGCTCGCCGCGCGCTGCGCTCCTGCACACCTGCTCCCGGGCGCCGCGCCCCACGCTGCGGCCGGAGCCCAGGTGCGCCGTCAGCTCAGTGGGCCCCCGGCAGGTCGGCAGGTGGAGAGAGCCGCAGACGCGGGCGTGAGCTCATCCCGGGCACTCGGCGCCCAGAATGCGCAGCCAGCGGCCTCCCGTGCGCCAGCCCTCACCCTCCGCATCCAGGCAGCAGGCGGGCGGGCAGGCTCATCTTTGCCGTGCTCCGGCCTCAGTCACATGGATCCCTCTGCCAACCTTCCCTGCCTGCGAGCCGGGCGAGTGAAGCCGAGCGCGGAGGCGAGCAGGGACCCCTCCCCTGCCTCTGGCCGCTGGGGCGCTCTGCAGTCTTAAAGCAGCAGCAGAGACGTGCAGCCGAACTGAGGCAGGACCGGGGAGAGCGCAGCCACCGCACAGTCACGCACAGTCATCAGGAGGAATTTCTTAGAGGCTTAAATAATCATTTCAACAGCTGCTTATTTTTAGTTATTTTCCTGCCGGTTGCTAATAAGGGATGGCCGGGGTGACTATTGCGGAAGGTGGCCAGCCACGGAGAGGTGAACATGAAATGCTCGTAGTTTTAATAAAATGTGCAGCTGGATTCCGATTCCGTATTTACTCTCAGAAAAGTCCAGTTCATTTGCTTAGAGGGAAATGCTCCTTCCAAATCCTTGCTGCTACTGTAAAGATCTCTATGATTTCACGGGCTAATTTTTAATTATCTTGAATACATGGTAGAATGCAAACACAAGCACTTCTAATTTTGCTCTCTGAATGGCGCATAAAAAAGCTGATTGAAATTGCTGATAATTTGAGTAATCCCAAACATATAGCCCCTTTCACGTTTCTGTGAAAAGTCAATATGTTAACATTTCCTGAATGTTCTGTATGATTCTTGAAGTCATGATAATATTTAAATTAAAGCTCTCACAAGGGCGTACATCTATCCATCACTTTGCAATATAATGACCGACAGGGCTGGAATGCACCCCAGTGTAGAAGCCAGGATGGAATGCTCACAGTCAGGACAATCAGGACTGAAAAAAAGCATTCGGTGGGGGTCAAGGGAGACATTTTCAAGGGAAATTGAGTAGGCTTTTTCCTAGGCACTAGGTATCCTAACTGGGCTCCATGTCCCCCTCCAAATACAGAAGAATGATGCACATCTCAGACAGCTCACAAAACACAGGAGAAGCAAATGGTGAGGCAGAAACAAAATGGTGCTTTACCAGGGTTGGGCACAAGATGGCCAGGCCCTGTGTACCAGGAAGGGTCAGCTGAGCCGGTGATGCTGCCTGGCTCACCACGGCTCTGCAGCTGCAGGTGATCACGTGCTGCCGCCCACTCAGGCTGCGCAGGCCCAGCCCCCAGTACCACGCACCAGAACCAGCATCCTCTGGCTTTGCAAATGCTGGGTGCTCAGTCCCTGGTCCTTCCCAAATGCAACCCAGGAAGGCAGGGGATGGGCCTGATTCTGTCCCTGCATCTGGCTGGTTGACCTATTCATTAATTCTTACTTGCACACTAGCCACCTGCAAGGGTGCCCAGGCACTGGGGTCAGGGAAACCCAGGGTCGAATTGCAGCTCCTCCACTACCCCGATGTGGGGCTTCTGCATGTGACTCGAGCCTCAATTTCCTCATATGCAGACTGGAAATTATCACAGTTCTTAACTCACAGAGGTGTGAAGATCTTTCCATCCGTTGACAGCACATGGTCACTGTAGTTAGCGATGGCTGTGGTTAACTGTTACTGAGTTTGGGAGCAGGGCTGGAAACATGATTTGTGGGGTCCACTATAAAATGAAAATGGAGAGCTCCTTTCTCAAAATGAAAAAGAAGCACCATAACAAGTGCTAAAACAGAACACTTCCTCCTTTCTTCCTGCCTCTCTCAACCAGTCATGGTGTTTTCTGCTACATGCTGCTCTTCCTTGGGCGTGGGAATGCACCCCTGTACAGACCCCACAGACCTTCCAGGTGACTCAGTGCAGTACAAGAGGCTTCCACTTGCCAGTTGCTTCCCTGCCCTTGGCTGCACCCACATGCTGTGGCCAGCCACAGTTAGGGGGTGGGGAAGCCACTGTCTCTCTCCCACAGCCCACTGTCCCAATGTACAGTGGACAGGAGATCCCTCAGGGATTGCAACCTCCATGCTGGGAAGCTCTGGGTATCTGGATTGGAGGTGGGCACAAGCCTCTGGCCACTTGTGGAATGTGCCCTGGCACTGCCAGCCTGCTGAGGGGATGGTCACTGCGAGGCCTTTCTCTGAACTCCTGCACAGTGCTTGTCCTGCACACATGCCCATACACTCACCAGAGATGGCAGGTGGTGGCAGAACACAGGCTTGCTGTTCCAAAATGATGCAGTTGCCACCCTGTTGGGAAGCAGCAACAATTGCAGGGGCAGAGGCTGCTCAAGAGCTGGGGGAACATGGGGTTGGGAAGTGGACAGCCAAGAACCTCTCCCAAAGGAGAGGTGGCAGGTGGCAGGTAGCAGGATGGTACAGAAGCCAAGGCTCCAAGCCCTCTTCATGCTCCATTGTCCCATTGGATTTAGAAAAGGTAAAACAGAGGTGATATCATTAAACATTTCAAGATGGTGACTACAGAGAATTCAACCCCAAGTGCAGGCCCTTCTTTGCCTGGGACCAGATGGGACCCCGTGTGAGTGCACCTCTCCGTGGTTGTCTATTAATGCATCTGCCACAGGGTGAATGGGTGAAGGACCTTGAATGGGCCTAACACATGCACCAGTGTCTTTTCAAATGTATTTACGTAATAGACTTCAGTAAGAAACATACTTATTTCTCACTAAACTGTGAGTTCCATGAGACCAGACACTCTTTCCTGTTCAGGAAGGTATCCTCATGGCCTGGCCCAAGTACATGCTCGGTAAGTATTTGTGGGCTGGAATGGAGATCTCTAATGCAGGTAGAAGGCGGAGCCTGTCCTCAGATATGCACACATGTGTACACATAAAGCGCCATGGTAATTTAGGAGGGAAAGTGAGTACTGTACTTCATATAGAAGTCTCAGAGGAAATGGCAAGAACGTTGAGCTTTCAAATTCAGTTAAGATGTCAACATGCAAAACTGAGTCAAGGACAGGGGATTCTGCCCTGAGAGTATAAACATCTGGAAAAGTTAACTTTATAAAATACCTTAGGTTTCCAGTGATTCCTCCTTTTGTATTCCTAATCAGTGTAGCCTCTGGAAGATCAACCTTTGACCTGAAACAATTCCATCCAGACTTTTCCCTTCCCCAGTTCTGTCTTCCTGCAGCTCTGGGTCAGCCATCCTAGGGGAAGAAAGGTAAAGTCAAAGAGGCCACCTTGGTGCTCACTTGACTGATGCTAAATAAGGAACAATGCACATTTGAGGAGTTACATCATCCAGGTTACATCATCCAAGTATAGCATCTGTTACTCCTCTGTTTTCTGTTGGAGAACCAGGAAGAGCATATATGAAGCAATGGCCTTTGAGCCTTGTGCTAAAGGAAGGGTTGGGGGTTGAATGTTGCCAGGGATGAGCAAGGAGGGCATTTTAGGCAGTAAGGTCTCCACCGTGGGAAGCCTCAGTCCTGCTGGACCTGTGGGGTTCATTCTGATCAAGGCAATAAGGAGTTTCCCATGGGGGACCTGCATTAGTTGCCTAGGGCTGCTGAAACAAACGTCCCCAAACTGGGTGACTTAAAACAACAGGAACCTATTGTCTTAGAATTTGGAATGCTAAAAGTCCAAAACCAAGGTGTTGGTAGGAACCTCCTCTTCTGCAACCTGCAGGAGAGCTTCCCCTTTTCTCATCCAGCCTCTAGTGGTTGCTGCCATCCTTGGCACTCTTTGACTTGCAGCTGCATCTTTCTGATCTCACCTTCTGTCTTCACATGGCTTTCTTTATCCCTGCAAGTGTCTGGGCGTCTCTACTCTTCTTACAAGAATGGTGGTTATGTTAGAATAGAGACTCACCCTACTCCAGTATGATCTCATTTCAACTTATTACATTTGCAACCTTTGATGTCCCTACTTTCAAATAGGGTCCCACTCTGAGGCACTGTGGGTTAGGATTGCACCCTATCTTTTGGAGAGAAGGGAATACAGTTAAACCCCAACAGGATCAAGATGCCTGAAGTCAAATGGCAAGGGGCAGAGAAGGGTTTCTGTAGATTTGGGTGAGGACACCAGCATCTTGCTTTATAACTCTCTTGAGCCGTGTGCATCAGGGACCATCATGGTGCTTCCCTGTGCAGAGAAGGAGCTCAGACTTTACTTGGAGTCTCAGTTTCTTCTCGTGGAAAATTGAGTAATCATACCCACCCTTCCGATCTTAGAAGATTGTTGAGAGGATTCAATGAGATATGGGAGTTGGCTCTGAGAAGGTTACACAGATAACCACTACATGATGTCATAACAGCCTACAACTGAACCTATAGAAACATTTTGAGGAAACACATTACTTGGCAAAGCCTCACTCTGGCTATAGGGTGTTTTGATTCATTGAAACCAGACACTGCCACACCTCTGGTCTCAGAACTGCAAACGGCAGAGATGATCAAGAATGTCAGCAGCGACCCACCCATTTCTTCCTCCAATGAACTGATTGAGTCCTTCAACAAATATTTGGCATAAGTCTGTTATCTACAAGTTGTTATAGTAGTCCCTGTGGGGGCTAAAGATGGATGAGGATGAACCGGGTTGGGCACCGGGGAGCCTCTGGGCTGCTTGAAATGTTCTCCGTCTGGGTGTGGGTAAACACCACACAGGAAAATACACATGGAAAATTTGCCACGCTGTACACTTAAGCCTTATGTACTTTACATGCCTTACTGTGTGGAAAAAAAGAAAAAAAAAAAGACCAAAACACAGTATCTACTAACCTCAATCAAGTGGGAAATTCAAATAATAGTGACAACAATTTGATAAGATAAATTATATAATCGGGAGTTGACACATCTAATTCAACTAGCTGGTGTGGTGTGTGTGTGCCTGTGTGTGTGCTGTACATGTGTGTCTTTCTGAGTTTGGTGTGTGTTTGTGTGTGTGGTATCTGTGTTTGTGACTGTGTGTGTTTCTCTGTGAAAGTGTGTTTGTGTTTATGTGTTTCTGTGGTGTGTGTTTGTATTTTAGTGTGTGTGTGTATTTTGTGTGTTTGCATATGTGGTGTGTGTTTATGTGCATTGTTTTGGGTGGGTGGGTATGTGTGTGTGTGGTGGAAGCAGGTGTGGCAGAGACAGTGGGCAGGGAAGGCTTCCCTGCAGATACCGGAGCTGAGTCCTGAACACTCTGTTAGCTTCAGCCTTGTACACGAAGGAACAGTTGCCCCACGGCAGAGAGAGCTGAATGTACAGAGACAGACTGGCAGGACACAGCACAGTCATGGAAGGCCCCTTGCAAGGAGGAGTTGGGGTCCATCCTGAAGGCGAAAGGAAACCACTGATGTATGGTCAATAGGGAAGTGACACAATGAGGGGTATGCCTTGGAAACATTCCCTTCTGGGGACACACTGGATAATGGCCTGAGGAATGTGAGAAGGATGCAGGGAGAACTTTCTAGGAAATGAGGAAGACCTGACCAGTGCAGTAGGACTGGGATGAAGCCACTTGCCGCAGATAATAGTGAAAGACATTTAAAAGGTGAGATGATCAGGAGTTGGAAATACTTTAATAGTACTTTAAATAACAGTTGCATCATTCTCAGTACATGAGGCCTTTAGCTCGTCACTGACACTCATTCAACATCTGTATGTTCAGTTTTAGGCAACGTGCTGTCTGTGCTCACAAAATCAATTCTTTTCTGGGAGGTGAGCACTGCTTCTCTCCTCCCTGCCCTCCAGATGCGGAAGCCTTGGCTCAGAGCGGTCCAGAACCCTGCACTATATTACCCAGCCAGTTGGGGGCAGAGCTTGGTCTGAACCCAAGCACAACACCCAGAGGTCCAGTAATGATCAGTCCCCTTCTGAAGAGGGAAGAGTTGGGGCATGTGGGGAGGGACGGGGAGGATGGCAAGATGACTCCTACAGATCCATGGTGGATGCTTGTGTGGACAGAGGAGCCTCTGACCAAGAACAGGAACCCCATCATCTCCCATGGGCTTTTACATTTCTCCCCACTTCTACTCTCTCACACACAGCCTGGTCTCTGTAAAGCAGCCACCTTGATCCTGCAATGCACGCACACACACACACACACACACACACACACACACACAATATCATTGGAAGCCCTGATCAAACTCTCCATTGCCTCCCTGTATCATGCAAGGTGAAATCCGAAGTCCTCACCATGGCCATGAGCCCTGTGTTCTCCAGCACCAGCTCCTGTAGGGTAGATCCCCTGCCCCTGCCACCTTCCTGCTCACACACCCAGCGCTGGCTTCCTGCATTTTGTGCAGGCACACTCAGCACAAGCGCACACTCTTCCCTCAGGCACCCCAGGGGCCACCCTCCCACTGCCATCACTGGTTATGCAGACACCTTCTTTTCGGAGAGCCTTTCCCTGACAAACCCCCACACCAATAGCATTCTCCACCCTACCAGTGTGTATCCGCTGAGCTTTATTTTCACTATATTGATTTATAAATGTATGTAATTATTTACGGGCTTATCTTCTTAGATGAAAGCTGAGATTTTGTCTTTCTGTTCACTTCTGCACTCACCACACCTAGAATAATGCTTAGCGTATAGTAAATGCTCAATGAATATCTGCTGAATTATGAAAGAGACTAGATCAAAAAAAAAAAAAAAGTGTTGCATGAGGCAAGGCACAGAGACCCTTAGTGACATCTCCTGCATTTCACACCTTGGGAGACATAGAATTGTGATAGAAAAAAAAAAAAAACCCAGATGGAAGGGAATTTAAAAAAAAAACACTTCTTAGATGTCAAATCAGCTTATCAACTTGCATACACATTTCATCAAAATAAATATTTCTTTACTCCGCACTGGGCAGGTGGCTTGCTCATAGGCACTCTAACAAGTTATTTTTTTAAATGAAGACAGGTACTGAGTCTAGGGATTTGAATTATAAGAGAAGGTCAAGGCGGGGTTTGTATCAAATAGGTTTTAGAAGCAGAGAAGACTTCAAACCGAAACATAAGCCTGTGTGGAGAGCGCTGATCATGACAGCCCATTGGGATTCAGTTGAGGGGAAGGACGACGCTGAGGGAAGAGGCTGGGGGGAGAGCTGCAGATGGGGGTGCGGGCCTGGATCTGCCTGAGGGACCCGAGCCCCCACCAGCCCCGGGACTCTCGTGGAGGGGTGCAGCGGCCCCCTCTTGAAAGAACGGTGTTCATACAGAGTTCCTGGAGGCGCCAGGCGTGCCAGGCAGCTGTCCCTGGGGCCTCCTTACAGGAGGGGCCTCCAGATGAGATGAGCGGAGAAATCCTGGTTTTAGCACGGGGCTTTCAATGTCTGGGGAATGATCCAGCGTGGCCCCAAGGGCAGCAGAATGAGGAAGCAGCTCAGGGATCCTTGTATGACCCCGTAGCCCCAGCCACAGCTCAGCTCTGTGGCTTCGTGGGCAGCTTTTCAGACACCAGGGAAGACAGTCTTGATGAAACGCCCCAGGGTCTCTAAAGGAGCTCCGTCCTCACTGGGGAGGTGCTAAACAGAGAGGGGCAGGGGTCCCAAAACACTACGTGGAGAAAGGCGAGGGGCCAGCCTTGTGTTCCCTGCAGGAGTGATGTGGTTCTGGAGCCCAGTGGTTAAGACCTGGGTTGGGGTCAGACTCCGTCAGGGCTGCTGAGCCTGAGCCAGAGCGAGGTGACCCGTGCACGTGGCTTTACCTCTGGCCTCTAAAGACTGGTCTGTTAACCCTACCTATGCCACAGAGCTGCTATGACAATCACATGACTTAAAACCTGCCAAGCGCCTAGAGCAGGGCCCAGCACGCAGAGCAAAAGATCCCATAAATGTAAGTATTTACTATTGTTATTGATGCTACAGCTTTGCTGTGTTTAGTGAGGTTCTATGCCTTGACGCAAGAGCAGAAGAAAGGGAACAGTGTCAAACACAGATCAAGAATGAGGAAAAGACGGGAAGGAAGGCGATGTAGAAAGCAGAAGTTGGAAAGAAATAAACAAGAAAACTATACAGACATTTCCTTTTCATTTACATAAACCAAATTTTAGTGGCTTGAGAGAAGTCTAAGAAATTGGGGATGAGATAAAATTGGACGCTTACTTCATTTCAGACACGTTAAAAATGCTAATTAAAAAAAACTATACAAGAAAAATACTTGAGTCATAAGCAAAATGTAAGACCAAGCAATTCAGATAGAAGAATATTCTGGAGACAGCATGTTCATGTATAACACAGTGGCCAGGGATACATCTTTTTTTTTTTTTTTTTGAGATGGAGTCTTGCTGTGCCACCCAGGCTGGAGTGTAGTGGCACCATCTCGGCTCACTGCAACCTCCACCTCCTGGGTTCAAGCGATTCTCCTGCCTCAGCCTCCTGAGTAGCTGGGACTACAGGCGAGCACCACCATGCCCGGCTAATTTTTTTATATTTTAGTAGAGACGGGGTTTCACCATGTTGGCCAGGATGGTCTCGATCTCCTGACCTCGTGATCTGCCCGCCTCAGCCTCCCAGCGTGCTGGGATTACAGGTGTGAGCCACTGCACCTGGCCAGGATACATCTTTAAACATGACATAAGCCCAGAAGCTATAAAATAAAAGACAAATAACTGCAATATTCTTTTAATGGCAAACTTCTGACCAAAACAAAGCCAGAAGACAAGTAATGGGTGGACTAAGGGGCACACTCACCACCTGCAAGATAGAGGACTAATATCAATATAAGGTTGAACATTTAACAATTGATAACAAAAAGCAATTAATAGGCCTAGGACTTGAATATGATAGTTTAGAGGAAAAGAAAACAAAACAGCCAATAAACCTGAGCAGAAGCTGAACCACATTAATAGGCAGGGAAATGTACATTTAAATAACAATTGCATATTTCTTCTCATCCTCCACATGGAAAAGAACTAAATGACAAGGAAACTAATGTTGGTGGGACACAGGGGGAAAGGATACTTGTGGACATTGTTGGTGGCAATTTGATACTTTTGTAGCTGTTTTTAATTTTAATGGATTCTGGCAATATCTATTTACAAACAAAACAAAAATCACCTACACTTCAACTTTGCAGTCTTAGTCTTAGGCATCTGTTCCATTGAGATAAAACATCAGCAGAACCTAAAGCTGTATGGGCAGTGCTATCTGCTGCCGAATAGTTTGCTGAAACAAGAGAAAGAGGAGAGACAGAGAAGAAGAAAAGGAAAGGAAAGGAAGAAGGGAGGAAGCCATCCAAATGCCTATCCTCGAGGGATGTTGAATTAAATATAGTCATAAAAAATCAGGGATGTGTAGACATTTCCACCACATTTAATTAAGCGAAAAAAGCAAGATACAGAAGAACACATGAAATATCTCACTTTCGTAAAATACACGTGTGTGTGTGTATGTGTGTGTGTGTGTGTGTGTGAGAGAGAGAGAGAGAGAGACTGAAATCTTGTAAGGGTGAAAAAATGTTGCACAGCAAATGTTAATATTTGTTACCTGATTGGGTTGAGGTGGAGAGAGGAGGAGAAAGGGAAAAAAACAAAAACAAAACCAAAAAACAAAAAAAAGAAAGGGGTTTAGAAAATCAACACATATAACATAACCTCACTTATGTAAAATATAACTGTTAAAATGGCAATGGTAGCTATCTAAGTAGTGGGAAGCCAGTTTTCTCTTTGTCTATTATACTTTTCTGGGTTGTTTGATTCTTTTTATTTTCTTAAAAAATCTAAAATTATGTTAAAAGGCAATAAAGAAACAAAATTAAGTAAATTATGAAACCTGACAAGATTTGTGTAGCACAATACAGCGAACAGCTTGTCAGGTACACAGTGGAACTAAGTTAAAAGTCAAAATTCTCTTGTCTCCTTTTCTTCTGATCTTTCAGGTCCTGCCTAGTTGAAACCTAGCAGCACCTTTAGTGAGGGGTGTGAACCCACTTTCCATCACAGTTGTGGGTCCACAGGCCCATTCTTCCCATATCACTTGTCACTTCTCCCTCATGTCATCCATATCCTCCTGAGAGTTCATAAGCAGCCTTGAAGGTGTGTTTCATTCTGCAGCCCCCACTATAGTGGACATGTGTTGGATAAGAGGCCATTTTGACCTTTTCTCATTGTTAAAATCTCTAAACAAAGTAACATGCTTATATTAGCCAGGGTTCTTAAGAGAAAACAGAGCAAATTGGATACATATATTATATTATAGACTACATATAGACATATAGACTATATGTATACATACACACACACACACACACACACACACACCCCTATACATATATGTGTGTGGAGAGAGAGAGCAATTTACTGTACGGTACTGGTTCACATGGCGATGGAGGCTGAGAAGTCCCATACCTTGCCATCGGCCAGCTGGAGACCTGGGAAAGTCAGTGGTGTAGTTCAAAGGCCTGAGAGCTGCAGAGCCAGTGGTATATATTCCAGTCTGGATCTGAAGGCCTGATAACCAGAAACTCTTGGGGCAGAAAACATGCCCCAGCTCAAGGGATCAGGTAGAGAATAAATTCAACCTTCCTTCTTCTTTTTGTTCTACTCAGGCTCTCAACAGATTGGATGAGGCCCACCCACAATGGAGAGGGCCATCTACTTCACTCAGTCCACCAATGCGAATGTAAGTCTCTTGCAGAAACACCCTCACAGACACATCCAGAAATAATATTTCACCAGCTATCTGGGCACCCCATGGCCCAGTCAAGTTGACAAATACAATTAACCATCACAGTACCCCATCAGGTTCACTTCCTCATTCTCCTCCAGAAGGCCGGGCCATGGGGTAGGGAGAAGTCAGAAACAAAACTCCATGGAAACAGCAGTTGAGAGTAAAGGAAGTGACACGGGAGATGGAACCTGTTTTCTGCACTTACACAGAGCAAGTCCTTGCAGAAGTGAACGTTTTTTGGGAATGGGAGGGATGGTAAGTGGTTTACAGAAAAAAGGGCATAGCATATTTATGGAGATCTGTGGTTGGAGAGTAAGGAAAGGGCCAGATTCAAGTCCACTTGACTGCCTTGCTCATGGTTTCTATCCTTTGCCTTGCAGAGGCATGGCATGTGCCAGGGTGGCTGAGGGCAGTGCCCTCTCAGCTGAGGAAGGCCCACTGAGAGCAACTAGAAGCAGCACCCGCAGTCCAGACCATAGCTAATGCCATCTGTTTGCCAATGCCTATATGATTTCATCACATCTTAAGAAAAGTTTTGAAAAGCAACTCTCAATATTTCTAAGGTATTTTAACTTTTTCATGACTATTTCTCTAGGAATAGTAATGGATATTCCTCCAAGGATGGCTGAGGAGCAACTGAAAACTAAATAACATGTGACTGTGAGAGATATTAATGGCCTTTGTTATTTAAGACAAATTTAATCTCTTCGGTCTTTGGCAGATCCTTTCCAAAGCAAGTGAAAGACTCAGAATGTGATCCACAACCAGGACATCTACCTATTCATTGAACAAAGATTTATTCAGCCCCTGCTACTGGCTAGCACTGTGAACACACAGTATATATCAGTGGACAAAACAGACAGCAACTGTTTCTCACATGGTGCTTACAGTCAATATTATGCTCACTGTATGAAAATTATACTCACTCTTGTTTGTTTCTGAGAGCATTTCAAGGACAAAAACTTATTAAATCCTAAATGACTTGCATCCTGGTGTTGTCTCTGAGATTTCTCTTCTCATGCAATTTACTATCATTGAAAATACCAGCCACACATGCATATGCAAAAATATAACTGGATGAATGGTCAGTTCTGTGATTACACCATAGCAACTGGATGGGAAAAACCCAAATATCCACCATCAGGGAACAATTAAATAATAATTCATCTAGATTATGGAATATTATGCAGCTATTAAAATGACTAGGCAGCTTTAGGGCTCATATAACAGATCTCCAGATGTTTTGAAGCTGGAAGAGTAATGAAATAAAATTAGTGGATACTGTATGTTCCCACTCCCATAAAGAAATGTGTATTCATTTCTCTGTTTATACATGCATAGAAAGCTCTTGGAGAGATCTATAACAAGCTGTTATCCATAGTTGCATCTCAAAAAACAGACTGGGGTAGGACAGAGAAGGGATATATAATTTCATGAAATAGCCTTCTTTATTAAATAGATGTGTTCTTACTAATTTTGTTTTATTTTACTATGCACAAGTCTACTTTTTAATTATAAAAAGATACCAATGAACTTTAAGGGGTTATTATATATGGTTTCTACAACTGTCAAATACGTCAGTTGCTAGCTATGTGACTATTTCAATTTAAAGGTAAATTAATTAAAATAAACTTTAAAAAAAATGAGATCCTCAGTTGCACTCACCATATTTCAAGTGCTCAGTAGCCACAATGGTGAGTGGCTGGCATATTAAACAGTGCTGACATATAGAACATTTCCATTATTGCAGACAGTTATATTGGACAGTGCTGGATACTCTATGAACCTACAGCCAGTGAATTTTTCATGAGATATCTAAGCCTTTGTTCTTCACTCTACAGTTGACTCAAAAGGAAATTACCCAGTAGAGCTGTGTGGTAAAGAATAAGAAGGAAGTTTCCTCAAAATTAACACATATCTCCCTTTCTATCTCCACTCGTTAACCAGCAGGAAAGTTGGAAATTCATTCCTTCAACCTTTTTACAGTGTCGTGATCAAGACTTTTAAGTTATTTTGCATATATTTTAAGTGTTACAAGGTCTGGGTACCTTTCCCCGGCAGCAACCCAGGTTGATCACTATTTATTGAGTGTTATTTATTAACATAAAATAATAAAAAAAAACCAAACCAACTCTAATCTGATTTTTTAATTACTGTATAAGTGCTGGTAATTCCTCACTTTTTTAGATTCCTCACATTCAAATGTGTTTAGCCTTCTGAGGTCCCGTCCAACTCTGAGAAGCCACAAACGTAACCCCAACTGAGACTTGAGTTTGGATAACTGTGGATGCCTAAAAGTTGTTATCAGTATATTTGGCTCAATAAGCTAAAAAGTACCACTGAATTATTTGGGGATTGCCCATTCATTTCTACTCTGAAAGTTTTACTTGTGTTTCTTAATGAGTCTAATATGAATTTAAATCTCCAGCCACCAAAACTAGAGTCTTAGTCAGTCAAATGCCAACAAAGTAAACTTTTAGACTTAGAAGCCGTCTTCTTCCAATTAGGAAAAGAAAAATGCAGAATTACATCTTATCCTTGCACTTCAGAGTGAAAGTAACTGATTTAAAAATTCTCTCCTTTTCACACCAAGCTAATAGAATATTGGACCGTCATCTGGCTGGAGAGCTGCCCTCCTGAGATGTCTGTGTGGAGGACACATGCATTTCATCTGTTAATAATAGTATCTTCAACAAAGAGCCCTGCACCAAGCCATCTGTTAGGTTGGGGGTTTTCATAATCAACTAGTAGAGGAGGAAGTGTGGGCGAATACAAAACGCTCTTTCACTCCAGTTCTCTTTTCCCTGTTTGGACTCCCTTGAAGAAACTGCAACAATCCATTTTAGAGGAGAGACCTTAGAACCTGCAGAGAAAGCACAAACTGCATATTTCCCTGCAAACAGATATTCAGAATGACCTTCTTGCTACCAGGAGAGGAATGTAAATCTCCCAGTGCTACAAGCTCTCCTTTTTCTTATTCGCAGACTTTTATGAGAATCAGCTTATAATAGCAACCTGATCTGAACTCACCATGCAGGAAAGTGAGGCAAAGATGGGGTCTGGACCAGCCCACAAAAAACGTCCTGTCTTAGGCCAGACATTTTACCAAGAGAGCCTCAAAGCAGGCCAGAAAAGGGAAGATGAGGTAAAAGAGCACATTTCTGCTATTCACTGTTAATCAGATGGGAAAACCCAGCAAATACAACTCAGTAAAGCATCTGCTTCTCTTCAGAAGGTGCAAAGGAGTAAAACACCATAGAATCACTTCTAGTTTTCTTTTTATCTACCAGTGTGGTCTGAATAAAAATTAAATAACTTTTGAAAAGTTCACATTTGTCATCCATTACCCAATTCATTCTTGTGGGTAATTTTTAAGTAAACACACGATTAACATGGTGTTGGTAGGTCATTAACACTGGTAGTGTCATTAACATGGCACTGGTAGGCAATGCCATCATAAATGAATTTTCACAAAAAAATTTCTCTTTTATGGGAAAAAAAGGAACTTGCTCAAAAAACATTTATATTACCAACTTTCAAGTTGGACAGATGAAGATTTGAATTTGTCCCTCCTATTACTAGTAATGTGTCCTTGAACAACTCACTGGCTCTCTCTAGTCCTCAGCTTCCTCACCTGAAAAATAGGAATATCAACAAAACATAACCTATAAGGTTCTTGTAAGGTTTAAATCAAATATCATCTCTGCTCAGAGCTGTGCCTGGTACATCAGAAGAGCTCAATGTGGCACTGTTAGTGATTTATCATTTTCCACCTTGTTAAGGAATGCACACAGAGCATAACTAAAGTTTTCTTATTTACTTAAGCCCATCATTGTGAACATTACAGTGTAGGTCAGAGGCCCATCTGTCCCTATACTTAGTGTTCCCATTGATTTGGCGGAACTCAATTGTTTGGTGTTTGGGAGCAGTTTCTGGTACCCAGCCCCCATATTCACTTCTGGTTTTTAATCAGCTATGAACTAGGAATACAAGTGACCAAATAAATTACTACTGTACTTAAGATAGGTGTAAATGGGCTCAAATTCAGTGATTCCCATATTAGAATTACCTAGAGAGCTTGAGCTGCTGTGAAGACAAGGCGTCTGCATTTTATAAGCCCCGGGTGAGTCCAATGTCCTGGTGGAGGCCACGGCTGTAAGTGAAGACCAGTTCCCTCATTCCCTGACAGCAGCCCAGGAAGGGCAGTAAGTGGCCAGCCACAGTAAGTACAGCTGGGGGCAGACCTGGAGCTTCCTTTCCAGTAGGAGGGCCAAGGTCACAGACTACTTTATACGTCTAAATCTAATGCGACCCTCAAGGAGAGGGAGACGGAAGAAATCAAAGAAAATTAAATCCTTCGACCAGAGCTAACCAAGATCGCTATGTGCCAAATCTTGTGCTAAGTGGTTGGGGTATGTTGGTAAATAAGACAGAAATGACCCCAACCCCTGCATGCACAGAGGACTGACAAGAAGACTAATGGGGGCAAATAAAACCAAGAATTGCACAAGTAGTGAAACATTTGAATAATTAAAGAAATTGCAATTAAATAATGGTACTATGGAAAGTACTTGGGTGAAAAAGTGTAAGGTGTGGGGAGATACGGCAAAGAGGTCCTAACCAAGGATGAGTGATCAGACAGCATCATGAGGAGGACCAGCGGGTGGTGTCTTACTTTCCTGGGACTGCTGTAACAAAGCGCCACATGCTAGGGTAACTTCAAAACAGAAATGCATTTTCTCACGATTCTGGAGGTCAGAAGTTCAAGATCAAGTGTCAGCACTGTTGGTTCCTTCTGAGGCTCTGAGAGAGGGATCATTTCCTGGCCTACCCTCAGCGTCTAGTGATTTGCTAGCAGTCTTGGGTGTTCCTCGGCTTCTGCTGCATGTTCTCATGGCGTTCTCTGCCTTGGGGTTCACACAGCATTCTCCCAGTGCACCTGTCCGTGTCCAGGCTTCTCCTTTTTATAAGGACGTCAGGCATATTGGATTAGAAACCACTATAATGAGTGCATCTTAACTTGATCATCTCTAATAAGGTCATATTCACAGGTACTGGGGGTTAGAACTTCAACATCTTTTAGAGAAACACATTTCAGCCATTAACAGGTAGTAAAGAATTAGACTGGGTGAAGGAGGATGGAAGAAGAAAGCATTGCTAGAGAAGAAAGCACATGCCAAGGCCCTCAGCAAGGAGGGCTGCTGCAGTGACCAGGAATGGCTGGGAGCCTGGTCTGCTGGAGTGTGGGAAGCAAGAGGAGGGTCAGGAGGCACAGGCAGCAGCTGATCCTGCAGAGCTCTGGGGGCTCTGTGTGGAATGTGGGAGCCAACATGGGAGATTATGAAACCAAGACAACTGAAGGCAAGATGTAGCAGAACCAGCAAGAGGGACAAAAGGGAACTGCCACTCTGTCATCTGACTGAAGACCCAGGGTCTGATTCTAGAGAGAGATAAACAGTCTCTGGATTGAATGACACCAGACACAGTTGAAAATGGAATTCAAATTGAAAACAGGATGTTAAAGAAATGTTCATATACTGAAGGGTGAGATTCCCCACCTTCTTTCTCTAGTAGGCTCTTAGGAGTCTGGCAGCCAGAGATGACACTGTGATACCTGGTCAGTCCAAAAGAGACACTAAGATACTGCCATGCAGATCCCCCCATTGAAGCCACCAAGGCAGACCACCCTTAATTTTCAGTACTTCTCCAACTGTAGCATGAATAACAATTATGGTGGGAGGGAGGCATTAAAATGCAGATTGCTGGGTCTCACTCTAGATTCTGATTCAGAAGGTCTGAGAGGGGCTCAAGAACATGCATGTCTAACAAGCACCTCGGGAATGCTGACACTGCTGCTCCATGGACCACACTTTGAGAACCACTGCTCTAGAGAGTCAATGAGTCCATGGGTGTCAATGAGCTGCCAACCAGCATTTTACAATTCTTAAGTGCAAGCAGAGATTAAATATTCAAAAGAGCCAAGCCATTAAAAAAAATCTATTCTAAAAGACAGTGAGCAAGATAAACAAAAACGAAAAAATAGTGACATAAAAGAAAAAGACTCTTTGGCAAGAAGACAATGTCATTAAATCAACCATTACCCTCAGAGAGAGAAGATAAAAAATATTACATCTGTAATAATAGAATACATGTTATTTTTCTAAAAGGAACATTCAAAGATCAAAAGTAAAGTTCTTAGAAATTAAAAACATGATAGCAGAATTGAAAAATTCAATAGAAAGACTGGAAACCGTCATCTAGAAATTAAAGCAAAAATTTAAAGAAAGAGCAGGAAGGGCTTGTCCAGGCTCCCCAAGGAGTCTGGAATGGGAAATGTGTACTGAACACTTAACATATGCCGGGCTCCGGACTCCATGCCAGGATGCAGGAATGCACAAGGTCCTGCCATGGGAGAGTACTCAAGGAGCTCTTGAAAGACCTGTTGCCAGGACCAGTGACCTGGTGATGGAATGCTTAGAAGAGCGGGACAAGTACCTGAACTCCTGAAGGAGTGAAGAACACCTTCACTCCTCTTGTAGGCATTTGGATTCCTAATCATGCCTTTATGCAAGACTTGGCCTAAGTGTTTGGGGAACCTGTTGTTCTCTCCAGTGCCAGCCTCAGCTCCCAGGCCAATTCTCTGAATGTTGAGGAGTCTCAAGACCTCTGGCTTTGATTGTCCTCATTCATTGATGCGGGACACATCAGGGTTGGCCAGAGCCCTGAATGTTGCCTGGGCTCCACTGCAGTTGACTTATCTGTTCCTGGAAAGTTTGTCATCATCTGTGCCCTAAAGAGTACTACAGCCATCTTTCAACAGAAGTATGGGCTACTCCCCTCACACACGTCCTGCCTGTGAAACTCAACAGGCGGGAAGGCCCAATAACTGGTGCTGGATCCTATTTGTCTGTCCTCTGATGACTGGCAAGCCCTCATTGGCAGAGGCCACTGGATCTACACACTAGCTTGACTCTGGGCAGTGCGTCTTTCTGAACACTGGAGATCAAGTGCCAGAAGCTGTTGTTTAGCTGTGCACCTGGAAGAAAAGTTGTATTTATTATGTGTAGTTTCGTGTATCAGCCAAAAGCTCAATGGAGAGGTTAAGAACATTCCTAGGTGGCCTTATTCTAATAAGTTTCTTCTCTCTCTCCTTTTCTAAATTGAAAAGTAATTTAAATAACAGATTTAGAATCTAGTGAGAACCTTGTCTCTGAAGAGTGGTGGCATTTAAGGTTCCAACCAGATAGAAGTATCGGTGCTGTTTAAGAAGTCTCAGGTGATCACAGGCGTCTGTTAGGCTCTTGAAGCTGGAACAAGATTAGGATAAAGATTGCAGAGCCACAGGCCAAATGCCCTGTTCCCCTGATCTGGTGGGGCAGTGATGTTGTGTATTATAACTGCTGGGGGGTGAGGGTGAGTAGTCATTTTGGTTTAATAGTGGGAGGTCTGCTCAGTTGGCAGGGGGTAGAGGTGGGGAGAGGGAGTCCAGATAAATGAATTTTGGAAAATACATCTCTAATAATCCTTTGCAGCCAGTGACTTTATTCTTACTTATTCAAAAAATAAGTTACGGTTAATTATACCTACAACACCTCTATTTAAATTCAGATTTGCTCAGCAGCCCTTTGTCTTTATTCATATGCATACCAAGTGTTTAACATAATTATGGTTGGGCATTTGAACTTTGTTTTTCTTTAACATAAAGAAATGCTACTACTAAACATATTTGTAAGCAGAAAATAATTAAAGAAAGAAAATTGGAGATATAAGACATTTTTTAATTTAGAGGACTAGCCCATGGAGTCTAACATCTGGCTTAAAGGATATCCAGATGGAGGTGAGATCACATGGAGGGAAGAGCATGCTCAAAGAATCCAAGAAGCTTTCTCAGATTCAAAGGACA
Organism: Homo sapiens; assembly: GCF_000001405.40. Classification (NCBI taxonomy): domain Eukaryota; kingdom Metazoa; phylum Chordata; class Mammalia; order Primates; family Hominidae; genus Homo; species Homo sapiens. The sequence continues at coordinate 1,005,172 of NW_025791814.1, forward strand.
TGATTTTCCAAACTGAAGGGGCCCATCAAATATCTAGCACAACAGAAGAATATAGACCTACACCTCAGCACACTTACGTGACACTTTAGGATACAGCAGCAACCCATCCTGTAAACTCTTCGTGAAAAAAAAGTTACATTTAATACAAAGGATTGAGAATCAGTATGGCATTGGATTTCTTAAAAATGGTACTAGAAGTTAGAAAACAGATGACCAAGTCATTCAAAACCATAGGTAAAATTATTTCCAACCTAGAATTTCATGCCCAGGCAAACTATTAGTAAGTAGAATAAATATACTTTCATAAAACAAGGTCTGAAAAACTTTACCCCCCTATTGCTTTATCAGGGAGTTACTGAAGGATGAACTCCACTAAAACAAAAGTAGAAACCAAAAAAGAAGACCTGAGGTACAGAAAACAGAAGATCTAAAACAAGACAGGGATGAAGGGACTGTCCAAAAGGATGGTGAGGATCCTAAGATGCAGCTGCATCCTAAGCCCAGAGAGCAACAAGTTCAGGCAGAATCTGGTCAGAAGCTCTCCGGAGATGTCTTTAAATGTCTGGGTGCTTGAATACAGTAAGAGGAAAATTACATAAATCAGAGAGAGTTTGGAATTAGTAATAATGACATGGGAAACCAAGCAAATAAGAGAGCCCAACAAATATTAACCTTAGGAAAAAATAAATTTTTAAAAATGAGAAGGGAAAGAAAGCACTACTCTGTATAGCTCAGCTATTAATATTGGGACTACTCAGAAACACTGATATGAACATGTAGTATTGATCTAATGAATATGACAACTACCTTGAGAGAGGCATGACGGAAGCATATGTCAGAGATATGGCAGAGTGAAATAGAACTCAGTATTCATCTGCTATCATGGGAAGTTAATAACACTGAAATTATTATTATTATTATTATTTTGAGATGGAGTCTCGCTCTGTCACCCAGGCCGGAGTACAGTGGCTCAATCTTGGCTCACTGCAACCTCCAATTCTTGGGTTCAAGTGATTGTTCTGCCTCAGCCTCCCAAGTAGCTGGGATTACAGGTGCCCACCACCATGCCCAGCTAATTTTTTTTGTATTTTTAGTAGAGATGGGGTTTCACCATGTTGGCCAGGCTGGTCTCAAACTTCTGACCTCAGGTGATCACCCACCTTGGCCTCCCAAAGTGCTGAGATTACAGGCATGAGCCACCACACCTGGCAATAAAACTGAAATTATTTTAAAAAAGATTTTGTTCTATAAATATATTACTTCTAAACAAGGAGATAAGTTTTTAATATCAATTAAAAAGAATTAAAAGTGATTTTTTAGGGAAAATAGAGAGAGGAGATGAGGATGTCATTTTGTAGCAAACCTTGTAAACTATGTAATTCTTCAACTCAAGTACACAGATAAGTCAGAAAACTGAAAAACAAATAACTATCTAAAAATATAAACAAAAAGAAACACATAAAATCATATAGAAGGACACTTCTGGAATGGTGGTATAAGGAGCTACATAAACCCTCTCTTTAGTGAAACAACCATACCTAGTGGAAAACGTTTAAAAAAAATATATATATATATATATATAGAGAGAGAGAGAGAGATTCTATGCCAGGTGAAGCAAGCAATATAAAATATATTTATAAATATATATAAATATATATAAGTATATACAAAATATATATATATATATATCCCTGGAAATCATCCTGAGAGGCATACCACAAATGTAGAAACATTATTTCAAGAAAATCAACTAAGTCTCTGTAAGAACAACAAGAATCTGAAGCATCTGAGCCATGACATTTTCTCTCCCTACCCCACTCCCAACTCAGTATAATCAAAGCTATACTCCAGGAACTTACAGCCAAGAACATAAGGCTACCATTTCCCTTAGTGGTACAATAGCTACAGTTTCTCCCCAGGGTGGTGAAGCCACCAGCATTTCTCATCCACCCTTCCTCTGGCTCTGTGCTACAGAAGTTCTACTCCAAGTAAGCCTGGCCAAGATGTCTGGGGTTCCCCTCCTCCATCCAGCCCCCTCTCATAGGATGGAAGTTCTACCCCTTGCTTGGCAAGCCAAGAATATTGGGCCCCAATTATCTTTATCCCAGCCCACTTGTAGGGTAGAGATTCTATGCCAGGTGAAGCAAGCTAAGAATACCAGAGGCTATCACCCCATTTAATGCTCCATGCATAGATCAGGGGTATAGAAATAGGCCTCTATTCCTACTTTCAACTTAAGAGCAGATTATATTTCTGAGTTTTCTATTCTGCTCCATTGGTCTATGTGTCTGTCTTTGTACCAGCACCATTCTGTTTTGGTTACGGTAGCTTTTTTGTTTGTTTGTTTTTTTGAGACAGAGTCTTGCTCTGTCACCCAGGCTGAAGTGTGGTGCCGTGATCTCAGCTCACTGCAACCTCTGCCTCTCAGACTCAAGCGATTTTCCCACCTCAGCCTTCCAAGTAGCTGAGACTACAGGTGCCTGCCACCATGTCCAGCTAATTTTTGTGATTTTTGGTAGAGGCTAGGTTTCACCATGTTGGCCAGGTTAGTCTCCAACTCCTGAATTCAAGTGATCTGCCTACCTTGGCCTCCCAAAGTGCTGAGGTTACAGGCGTGAGCCACCACACCTGGCCTACTGTAGCTTTATAGTATAGTTTGAAGTTGGGCAGTGTGATGCCTCTGGCTTTGTTCTTTTTGCTTAGGATTGCATTGCCTATTCGAGCTCTTTTTTGAATTTTAGAATAATTTTTCCTAATTCTGTGAGGAATACTGTTGGTAGTTTGATAAGAATAGTGTTGAATCTGTAAATTGCTTTGGGCAGTATGGCCATTTTAATGGTATTGATTCTTCCAACCTATAAGCATGAAATATTTTTATATTTATTTGTTTTGTTTATGATTTATTTCATTGGGGTTTTATAGTTCTCTTTGTAGAGATTTTTTACCTCCTTGATTTGCTGTATTCCTAGGTATTTTGTTTTCTTTGTGGCTATGGTAAATGGGACTGTGTTCTTTATATGACTCTCACCCTAGGTATCATTGGTGTATAGAAATGCTACTGATTTGCACATTGATTTTGTATCCTGAAGCCTTGCTAAAATTTTTTATCAGTTCTCATTGCCTTTTGGTGGAGTCTTTAGGGTTTTCTAAGTATGGGATCATGTTGTTAGTGAAGAGAGATAGTTTGAGTTCTTCCTTTCCTATTTGGATGCCTTTTATTTTTGTCTCTTGCCTGATAGCTCTGGTTAAGACTTCCACTGCTATGTTGATTAGGAGTGGTGGGAGAGGCCATCCTTGTCTTGTTCTGGTTCTCAAGGGGGATGATTCCAGCTTGTGCTCATTCAGTATGAGGTTGGCAGTGGGTTTGTCATAGACGGCTCTTATTATTTTGAAAGCTACACACCTACAACTATCTGATCTTTGACAAGGCTGACTAAAACAAGCAATAGGGAAAGAACTCCTTGTTCAATAAATGGTGCTGGGATAACTGGCTAGCCACAAGCAAAAGAATGAAATTAGACCCTTACCTTTCACCATATACAAAAATTAACTCAAGACAGATTAAAGATTTACATGTATGACCTCAAATTACAAAAATCTTAGAAGAAAACCTAGGAAATACCCTTCTTAACATTGGCCTTAGCAAATAATTTTTGGCTAAGTCTTCAAAAGCAATTACAAAAAAAAAATTTTAACAGGTGGGACCTAATTAAACTAACAAACTTCTGCACAGCAAAAGAAACTATCATCAGAGTAAATAGACAACCTATAGAATGGGAGAAAATTTTTGCAAACTATGCATCTGACAGATGACTAATATCTAGCATCTATAAGGAACTTAAACAAATTGACAAGAAAAAAACAACCCCATTAAAAAATGGGCAAAAGACATGAGGAGACACTTCTCAAAAGAAGACATACAAGTGGCCATCAAACATGTGAAAAAATGCACATCATCACTAATCGTCAGAGAAATGCAAATCAAAAGCACAATGTGATACCATCTCACACCAGTCAGAATGGCTATTGTCAAAACATAAAAAAGCAACAGATGCTGACAAAGACGCAGAGAAAAGAGAATGCTTATTTAGTGTTTGTGGGAATGTAAATTAGTTCAGCCACTGTGGAAAGCAGTCTGGAGATTTCTCAAAGAACTTAAAACAGAGCTACCATTCAGCCCAGCAATCCCATTACTGGGTATATACCCAAAGGGAAACAGATAATTATAACAAAAAGACACGTGCATTCATATGTTTATCACCACCCTATTCACAATAACAAAGACATGGAATTAACCTAGGTGCCCATCAATGGTGAATTGGATAAAGAAAATGTGGTACATATATACCATGAATACTATGCAGCCATAAAAAAGAATGAAATCATGTCCTTTGTAGCAGCATGGATGGAGATGAAGGACATAACCCTAAGTGAAATAACACAGAAACAGAAACCAAATACCACATGTTCTCACTTATATGTGGGAGCTAAACATTGAGCACACATGGACATTAACATAGGAACAATAGCCACTGCAGGCTACTTGAAGCGGGAGGGAGGGAGTGCACATGGGTTGAAAAACTTCCTATTAGATGCTATGTTCACTATCTATGGACAATGTACCCATGTAACCAACCTGCACGTGTACCCCCTGTATCTAAAAGAGAAGTTGAAATATATATAAAATCTCTTCCCAAGAGAGAGACAGTCTATAGAAACAGAGAACTCTGTAGCTGTCCCTAACAGGACTGTCTTTATTTGGAACAGAGCATAGGAAAGTCCAAGCCAAAGGACATTGTGAAAAAACAATGGAGATTGTGGTGGTAAACAATTAACAGAAGGCTTATAGCTTCATGATATCAATATGTGAAATAGGAGAGAAGCTAGAAGTTTATCAGAAAGAACCATGGGGAGAATCAGTTAAGAAGAGTCATCTGGAGTCAGAGAAAGCCTCAAAAACTACCTCTGCAAAAGGGCCTGATTTTAATTGGATTAGAAGGTGGGGCAATGTATGCCCCAGGGCAGTGCAAAAAACAATAGTGCAATCAGCTAGCAATAAGTGGAAGATAATAGTTGAGTGTGATCTCAACACCGTGAAAACAGCCCAAAGCTTAATGGGGAGATCACACGAAGAGATTGGTCACAGAAAGCCTGGCTAAAACTGTTGTCATGCATGTCCAAGTCAGTACCCTGTGAGGAGCAATATCAAAGGTGACACACTGCAGAGGAAACAGACTTCACTAAACTGGTCCAGCCAAGTCACTAGTCACTAAACAGATAAAAAAACAAATAACACCAACAAGCCTCAGGGGAGGGAGGTTGGTGTCGAAAGCTGCTACAATATATTATCTAAGATGTCCATGTTTTAGTGAGAGAGAGAGAGAGAGCTAGAGATGGAGAGAAAGAGAGAGAAAGAGAGAAAGAAAGAAAGAAAAAGAAAGATCATTCAAAAACAAAAATAGGAAAGAGTGACACATACACAGAAAATAAAAAATACAAACCAGGCAACAGAAAGTACCTTTAAGAGACTCAAATTGTGGACTTAGATGAAAACATCAAAGATTCTCTTATAAATATTTCCAAAGAGCTAAAGAAGCCATGCTTTAAAACAGTAAAGGTCTATATGTTTACAATGTCTCATCACATAGAGAATATCGACAGAGATATAAATTGCTGAAACAAACCAAATGAAATTTCTAGAGTTGAAAATTACACTAACCAAAATGAAAAATTAACTAGAGGGGCTCAAAAGTCAATATGAGCTAGTAGAAGAAAGAATCAGCAAACTTGAAGATAGGTGGATAGAGATGATGCAATTGGAAGAACAGAAAAAAAGAATAAAGAAAAATTCACAGTCTTAGCAAATGTGGGGAACCATCAAACACTTCAAGCAGTGAAGTGCAATGAGCATATCAAACCAGCAGAGAGAGAAAAGAGTACAAAAAAAATTTTAAAGAAATAATGGCTAAAAACAGACCAAATATAATAAAACTTTTTATCTACAAATCCAAATATCTCAATAAATTCTAAGTCAGATAAATGTAAGAGATCCAAACCCAGATACATTATAGACAAAATGTTGAGTGCCAAAGACAAAGAAAAATCTTAAAAGCAGCAAGACTAAAACAACTTGACACATACAAGAAAACTGCAATAATTTCAACAGCTGACTTTTCATCAGAATTAATGGAGGCTAAAGCAGTGGATGACATTAAAAATGCTAAAAGAAAAAGAGAGAACCAATAATTTTATATTCAGCAAGACAATCTTTCTAATGTGAAAGCAAAAAAGGCAGAGAATTTATAGCACGCAGACCTGTCTTATTAGCAATACCAAAGAAATATCTTCAAACTGAATGTAAGTGACAGGAGAGTAATTCAAATTTATGAGACAAAAAACGTAATATATAGTTATTGGTAATATATGCCAATAAAGGTAATTATATAGTTGAGTTAATTGTAAAAGATAGTATAATTGCATATTTCTTTTCCTTTCTTCTCTCAGTTGATTTAAAAGACAAGTGCATAAGATAATATGTATGGAATTATATTATTGGGCCCATAACTTACAAAATTGTAATATATTTGACAATAATAGCACAAAGGAGGCAGGTGGAAGCAAAATTATATCAGAGAAAGAAAATAACACAAGTTGGCAACTAAAATCCACAGGAAGAAATAAAGAGAAACAGAAATGTAAACTAAGAAACAAACATTTATTATTATAACATGTAACAAACATTATAAATATATTAAAAAGAGAATGAAGGAATGGAGTTATGTAAGAATAATGTTTCTATATTTCACTTGAATTAAGTTAGCATAAATCTAAAGTAGAATCTGATAAGTTAATATGTATATTGTAAATCCCAGAGAAACCAGTAAAAAAGAAAACTGGAAAATATATAGTAAAAAACTCAGTAAAGAAATCAAAATGCTGCATTAGAAAATATTCACTTAATGCAAAATAAAGTAGTAAATGAGAAACAGAGAAACAGAAAATACGTGTGACATATTTTTTAAAAAAAGTAAAATAATAGACAAATCCAAACATATCAATAATAACATTAAATGTGGATGAATTAAGCTACCTGACCAAAGGCAAAGATTGTCAGACTGGACAAAATAAAAACAAGATCCAACTATATTATATCTACAAAAGACACCCTTTAAATTCAAAGATATACATAGGTTTAAAGTAAGAGGATAAAAAATTGTATATAGCAATAAAAGACTTGGAGTAGCTACATAAATATCAGATGACATAAACTTTAAAACAAACATAATTATAGAGATAAAGAAGGAAATTTTATAATGACAAAAACAAATTTGTCAAGAATACATAGCAATTATAAACATATATACACCAAACAACAGAGTCCCCAAAATAGGTAAAGCACACCTGACAATGCAAAAATAATTGTTTCATATCTCACTTTCAATAATAAATACAAAAACTAGGCAAAGAGTCAACAAAGATATAGAGGACTTGAATAATGCCATAAACAACCAGACCTAACAGACATCTACAGCAGCAATCTTCAACCTTTCTGGCACCAGGGACCAGTCTAATGGAAGACAATTTTTCCACAGGCGGGGGTGGAGGGTCGGCAGGGGCTGGTTTCAGGATGATTCATGTGCATTATATTTATTGTACACTTTATTTCTATTATTATTACATTGTACTATATAATAAGATAATTATACAACTCATCATAATGTAGAATCAGTGGGAGCCCTGAGCTTGTTTTCCTGCAACTAGATGGTCCCATTTGAGGGTGATTGGAGACAGTGACAGAACATCAGGCATTAGATTCTCTCATAAGAAGCACACAACCTAGATCCCTCACATGCATAGTTCACCATAGGGTTTGTGCTCCTGTGAGAATATAATGCTGCTGCTGATCTGATAGGGAACGGAGCTCAGGCAGTAATGTGAGTGATGGGGATTGGCTGTAAATACAGATGAAGTTCGCTAGCTTGCCTGCTGCTAACCTCCTGTTGTGTGGCCTTGTTCCTAATAGGCCATGGACTGGTACCAAACCATGGCCCAGGGTTTGGGACCTCTGATCTATAGAGCACTTCAACCAATAAGAGCAAAACGCACATTCTTCTCAAGCACACGTGGAACATTCTCCACATAGACCATATATTGAACCACAAAAAAAGCCCAAAGAAATTTAAAAGAATTGAACTCATACTAACTGTTTTCACTGACCATAGTGAAATAAATTAGAAATCAATAACAATATAAAATTTGTGAAAGTCGTAAAATTTGGAAATTAAACAACATGCTCCTAAATAACTAATATGTCAAAGAACAAACCAAAGGAATATCAGAAAATATTTTGAGATGAATGTAAATGAAGACATAACACCAAAATGTATGTGATGCAGATTAAGCAGTGACAGAGGGAATTTTTAAACTGCAATTGCCTTTATTAAAAAATAAGATCTAAATTCAGTAACTTAACCTACCACGTGAAGACACTAGGGAAGAAAAACAAAAAGCAAATTAAACCTAAAGCAAGTAGATGAAATAAAATAATAAATATTAGAGATGAAATTAAGGATAGAAAAACAATGGAAAGTCAATAAAATGAAAAGTTGTTTCTTTGAAAAGATTAACAAAATTGAGAAACCTTTATTTAGCTTGACTAAGAAAAAGGAGGATTCAAATTACTGAAGTTAGGAAAGAATCAGGAAATATTGTTAGTCTACTAAAATAGATAAGGAAGTACTATGAGAAATTATATGGAAATAAATTATATAATTTAGATGAAATGGACAAATTGCTAGAAAAGAACAAATTTCTGGAACCAGGTAAAAAAGAAGTAGAAAATCTGACTAGACATATAGTAAGTAAGAAGATTGGATTAGTTATCAAGAAACTACCCACATACAGTGTGGTGATTCCTCAAGGATCTAAAACTAGAAATACCATTTGACCCAGCAATCCCATTACTGGGTATATACCCAAAGGATTATAAATCATTCTACTATAAAGAAATGTGCACACGTATGTTTATTGCAGCACTATTTACAATAGCAAAGACTTGGAACCAGCCCAAATGCCCATCAATGATAGACTAGATAAAGAAAATGTGGCACATATATACCATGGAATACTGTGCAGCCATAAAAAAGGATGAGTTCATGTCCTTTGCAGGGACATGGATGAAGCTGGAAACCATCATTCTCAGCAAACTAACACGGGAACAGAAAACCAAACATTGCATGTTCTCACTCATAAGTGGCAGCTGAACATTGAGAACACATGGACACAGGAGGGGAACATCACACACTGGGCACTGTCGGGAGGTGGGGGAAAGGCAAAAGGGGAAAGGGAAGGGAGAGCATTAGGACAAATACCTAATGCATGTGGAGCTTAAAACCTAAATGACAGGTTGATAGGTGCAGCAAACCACCATGGCACATGTATATCTATGTAACAGACCTGCACCGTCAGCGCATGTATCCCAGAACTTAAAGTAAAATAAAAAATAAAATATATAAAAAATAATTACTTCCAGTTCCATAGTAATCACACTAATTAGAATTTTCCAGGCAAAAAAAAAAAAAAAAAAAGAAACTACCCTCAAAAATTGCCCAGGCACTGATACTGATGGCCTTATTGGTTAATTCTACCAAACAGTTGAAAAACCAATAAGGCCAATTCTTCATAAACCCTTCTAAAAATTAGAAGAGGAGGGATTGTTTCCCAACTCATTCCACAGGCCAGTATTAACCCAATACCAAAACTAGACAAAGATATCACAAGAAAATTACAGACAGAATCTGTAGTGGATGAATTTCATAATATGCCTTATAAAAGTAGATTTAAAATACTAGAAACCCAATTCAGCAATACACAAAAGAATTGTACATCATGACCAAATAGCACTTATCCTAGGAATGCAAGGTTGTTTAGCATCTGAAAAATCAATGCTTACAACACGTATTAATACAATAAAGAATACGATTTTTGAGATCATTTCAATAGATGTGGACAAAACATTTGACAAAAGCCAATGCCCTTTTATGATAAGACTACTCAGCAAGTGAGGAATAGAAAGGAACTTTCTCAATCTGATAAAGGAAATCTACAAAACCCCACAGCTAACATAATATTTAATAGTGAAAGACTGAATATTTTCCCCTCAAGATCAAGAACACAGTAAGGATGTCTGCTCTTACCACTTCTAGTCAAAATTGTAAAAAAGAAAAAAAATTATCCAGGTAATTGGGCAAGAAAAGAAATAAAAGACATTCAGATTGAAAAGGAAGAAGTAAAACTATTTATTGGCAAATGAAATGATCTTGTATATAGAAAACACTGAGGAATCCACTAAAAACTATTAAAACTAACAATTTGAGCAAGATTGCAGGATACAAGATCAATTTACAAATTTCAGCTGTATTTCTATACAGTTTCAATTAACAACCTAAAAATCAAATCTAGAAATCAATTCCATTTACAATAGCATTAAAAAAATAGAATGTTTAGAAATATGTTTAACGAAAGAAACATAAAACATGTATTCAGAAAACTATAACACATCACTGGGAAAAGTAAAAAAGACCTAAATGAAACACCTCATTAACGTAGATCAGAAGACAATATTATTACAATGTCAATACTCCCCAAATTGATTTAGAAAGTCACTGCAATTCCTATTAAAATATTCGATGGCTTTTTTACACAAATTGACAAGTACATCCTAAAATTCATGTGGAAATGCAATTGACTGAAATAGTCAAAACAAACTTGAAAAGGAAAATCAAAGTTGGAGGACTCATAATTCTCAACTCCAAAACTTACAACAAAGCTACAGTAGTCAAGACAGTGTAATATTGGCATCAGGACAGACACATAAATTAATGGAACAGAATAAGAATTGAGAATCCAGAAATGAACTTTTAACTTTATGGTCAGTTGATGTTCAACAAGGGTGCTGGGATAATTCAAGGGGGAAAGACTAAACTTTTTGACGTTGAGACAACTAGATATCCACATGCAAACGAATAAAACTGAACCACTTCCTCACACCATACACAAAAAGTAACTCAAAATAGATCATAGATGTAAATGTAAGAGCTGAAGCTATAAAACTCTTAGAAGAAAACATAGAAGTGAGTCCTTGTGGCCTTGTATTATGCAAAGTCTTCTTCAGTAGCCCACCAAAAGCACAAGTGATAAAAAAAAAAAAAGTATATATCAGACTTCAGCAAAATTATCAAAATTAAAAGCTTTTGTGCTGCAAATGATAACATCAAGAAAATGGAAACACAACCCACCAAACTGAAGAAAATATTTCCAAGTCATGAGTCTGATAAGGGATTTGTATTCAAACTATAAAAAGAACTCTTACAACTCAGTGATTAAAAATAAGCTAATTAAAAATGGGCAAAGGATGTGATGAGGCTTTTTCCCCCCAAGGAACATGTGCAAATGACCACAACACATGGAAAGACTCTCAATATCATTAGTTATCAAGGAAATGCAAATGAAAACCACAATGAGGTACCACTTCACTAAGGATCAAAATGAGAGATGATAACAAATCTTTGCAAGGTTGTGAAGAAATGGAAACCCTCACTCATTGCTGCTGGAAATGAGATAAGACACAGCCACTTTGGAAACCAACTGGGCAGTTCCTTAAAAAGTTAAACATAGAGATACCACGTGACCCAGCAATTCAACTCCCAGGTATCAACCCAAGGGAAATGAGAACATATATCCACAAAATACTTGTACATGAATATTTTAGCAGCATTATTAATAATAGCTAAGAATGGAAACAACTCAAATGTCCATTAACTGATGAATAGGTAAATAAAATGTGATATATCCATATAATGAAATATTATTGAGCAATAGAAAAGAATGAAGTAATTACAACAGTGTGGATGAACTTAAAAGCACTAAGCTAAGTGAAAGAAGCCAGTCACAAAGGATCCCATGTGGCATAATTCCATTTATATGAAATGTCCAGACTAGGCAAATTTGTAGAAATAGAAAATAGATTACTGGTTGCCTAGGGCTAGGGCAGGTGGAGTAGAAAGAGAACAGAGAATGGGAAAAGGAGAATTGGAGTAGGTAAAGAGCTCTGTGTTAGGCCATACTTCTGTTACTCTAAATACCTGAGACTGGGCAATTTATAGAGAAAAGAAGTTTAATTGGCTCATGGTTCTGCAGGCTATACAAACAGGGTACCCACATCTGCTCAGCTTCTGCCAAGAATCTCAGGAAGCTGACAACCATGGTGGAAGGTGAAGAGGGAGCTGGCACGTCACATGGCTAGAGCAGGAACAAGAGACAGAGCAAGAGAATGAGTGGGGAGGGCCACACACTTTCAGACAATCAGATCTCCCCCTTCAGGCCCCACTTCCAACACTGGGGATTACATTTCAGTATGAGATTTGGATGGGACAAATAACCAAACTCTATCAGGTTCCATTTTGTGATGACAATAAGGTTCTACAGTCAGATTTGATGATGGTTGTATAACTCTGTAAATATACTGAAAACCATTGAATTGTACTCGTTAAATGGGTAAATTATATGGTATATGAATTACATCTCCATATAGCTGTTTTAGAAACGCATGCACAAGAGACAGAAAGTTACAGACTATATTTACCAAAGTTTCTGAGTGATCATGGAGACTGTTTATTAAATAACATGTCTTTGCCACCTTGAAGTCATGCCATTCTTCATGTGAGATCCTGTTTCACAGCAATAGCTCATGAACTTGTTATAGGTATAGAAATATAATAAAAATGCAGATTCAACTCATTTTTATTTATAACATTAACACTATAATAAGGATGTCGTTTCGACTACTGTATCCCAGATATTATGAGTACTGGCTGGTCTCTATAGCCCTCCACCCTTCCCTGCCGTCTCTGTGCCCTAAGCAGCTAACTTCTATGGACTGCATCACCTTGACTCCCTCATCGCAAGCGTTTAAATGTTTGTGTCCTCTCGTTAGGCTGTATTCCTAATGACCGCAAGCCCTGTCTGCAACCTCCTCCTACAATTCTTCTGACCATAATGAGGGTCCTATAATATCCTTCGCTCCCCTTGCCCTTTCACTCTTAGGAGTGGAGAAGCTTTGTGCTGGCTCCTGATGTGATGCTATTAGGAGGTCTTTGGAAGATAATTAGGTCATGAGGGTGGAACCCTCATGAACGGTATTACTGTCCTTGTCCAAGAGACTCCAAGGAATTATTTCACCCTCTTTCCACCTTGTGAAGATGCAATGAGAAGTCAGCAGTCTGCAATCGGCCCTCACCAGATTGCCCTGAAAGAGGGCCCTCACCAGAACCGAACATGCTGGCACCCTGATCTTGAACTCCAGCCTCCAGAACTATGAGAAATACATTTCTGTTACGTATAAGCCACGAATCTATGGTACTTTTATTATCACAGATTAAATGAACTAAGACACTGATTTCATTGGGTTTGGCCAACAGAGACCTGGACAGGAACCCAGAGAGCAGAAAGAGAGAGGCTTGCCCCACAAGCCCTGTCTGTGACCTGCTTCTTACAGTTCTTCTGACCATGATGAGGGTCCTATAACACCCTTTGCTCCCATTGCCCTTTCACTCTTAGGAGTGGAGAAGCTTTGTGCTGGGGCCATTCCTGAGTCATGTCATCCTCTCGTACTCGGTGCCCACACCTCAGTTCACAGTTGCTCACTGCTCCTGCCATCCGTTTCCAGCTGGGAACTTGGTAGAGACAGGGCAAGCACACCAGTTCCTTACCTAACAGGAACCCTCTATGGTCAAAGGGAAGAATTTATTCCACTGTTCGGACTGATCACGTCATGTTCTGCCTACCTTGGCCTTGCAGACCCACGTCTGCACCAAACGACATGTTATAACGATGCTCTGTTGGGTGGCCTTTTGCTTCTAGTTTTCTATGACACTAGAGATACTCTTGCAAGCAACAGAGTTTAACTTTAGAAGCTGAATTTTTATCCTACAAAAATGAGCTTACCATAAATACGGTCAGTGTGCCTATTTTATAATGTCTCAAATAGAATAGTAAGAATCAAAACAATCTTAAAAGTAAATTGTGTTACACAAATTTGATATCCAAACAACATTTAAAGCTTACTGGATATGCATTTTGAAGTGGAAACCTGAATTCCTGGCTTCCAGGCCCGGTTAGTGCCTCCACCTGTGTCTCATCTGCCTTTGTCTGGGAAGCAGTTTTCAGACCCAGCTGAGCCTGACCCAGTGGAATCTCCGGTGCTTAGCACAGCCAGACTGATAGAGTTCGCCTTTCCTCAGAATGCAAAACAATTCATCCAGAACTAGCAAGTCCACAGATAAGGGATATTTATGCTTATTGTGCCAGATCTCTGAATGGCTGATTTAAAAAATTATATAAAATAAAATAAAATCTTGTGTGTCTCTTGTGGGTTAAGAAATGGAGGCCGAGGCAGGCGGATCACGAGGTCAGGATATCAGGACCAACCTGGCTAACACGGTGAAACCCCGTCTCTACTAAAAAAATACAAAAAATTAGCCAGGCATGCTGGCGGGCGCCTGTAGTCCCAACTATGTGGGAGGCTGAGGCAGGAGAATGGCGTGAACCCGGGAGGCGGAACTTGCAGTGAGCGGCAATGCGCCACTGCACTCCTGCCTGGGTGACAGAGCGAGACTCCGTCTCAAAAAAAAAAAAAAATGAAAAGAAAAGAAATGCATTGCACCATTTTTTCATGGCTACTTTAACCAGAGGTGGCCTACATTTATTTCCTTCCTTCAGGTCATATAACATCAGATCTTTTCATTAGCATGATAGCTGGAGATGTATTTAGAAGCTTTTTCTTTATAGCAACTAAAATACCCAACATACAAAACATTTACAGTATTTCATTTATCAAGAACCTATCTCTTTGTGGCAGACACAAAACCTGACTTGAAGTCAGTTAAGGGGTGATGTGACTTGGGGGATCTTCAGAAAAAGCCTTTGACTGAGAATATCACCCCTGCTGTCAGTCACTTTACTGCGATAATATTTTCCCTTTAAGCCAGGATTTCCCAAAGTGCGTGGAGAAAGACACAACCAACGCATTACCTTTGGTTACTTCAGGGGATGGGACTGGAAAGCACTTGGGGAGGAGAGAGACTGTTAACATTTTATACATTTTATCATTTAGCTCATCGCAACAATTGTATATTACTAAGGCAGTTTGTTTTCAGAAATCTGATACCGAGCCTTTTAAAGGTAAAATGTAATAGAATTAGGGGAATGGGAATACATTTTGGGAACTCTGCGTTAAACCAGGTTCTCATTGATAAACATCAACCTCTATCCCATGCCACAGAGGGCACTTCAAAGCCACATCCCAGGCCTGGTACGGTGGCTTGCACCTGTAATTCCAGCACTTTGCAATGCCAAGGTGCGAGGATTGCTTGAGCCCAGGAGTTCAAGACCCACTTGGTCAATATAGTGAGACCCTATCTCTACAAAGAAATATTTTTTAAAACTTAGCAGCATGTGGTGGCATGAACTTGTAATCCCAGCTATTCAGGAGGCTAAGGCAGGAGGATTGCTTGAGCCCAAGAGTGAGAGGCTGCAGTGAACCATGATC